>NC_000009.12:100341764-100493279 GCF_000001405.40 Homo sapiens | reverse complement strand
CAACAGAACTCAGGGTTTCTCAGTCTGGGCACTATTGACATTTGGAACCAGATAATTCTTTGTTGTAGGGAATATCCTGTACACTGGAGGTTGTTTAGCAACAGTCCTGGCCTCTGCCCACTAGATGCCAGTAGGACCACACCAGCTCTGACAACCAAAATTGTCTGGACATAAGCAACCACATCCTGTGGGGGGGAGAGGGGGGAAGGGGGCAAAACTGTCCCCAGTTGAAAACTACAGTAAAGGGAAAGCAAACACTTTACATCTAATTCTCTGACACAATCACTACAAGGAAAATTAGTCAAATAATCGGCAATCTCAAAAGATCTCAACATACTGCCACAGCTATTCTCCATTTCAGTAGAGGAACCTAAATATATTGATTCCAAGTTTATGTTAAATCCCCCACCTTTAATAGTACCTTAACCTCCAGCAGGCCTCACTTCCTCCTTCTTCCTATAGCAACTCTTCTTCTTCAAGGTCAAAGCAACCTCAGATCCAGTGGCTTTTTTCTTAAATCCTCCAATCCTTTTCTTGACCCTTCTAGAGCAGTTGACACTTCTGGCCTCCCCTTGTAACCAAACAGTCTTCATTATCCCCCCAATTTTCTGACCTCTTTTCATTTACCCACTCCTTTTTCCTTCTCCTACTGCCCAGTCCGTGTCAATAACACTCTTAGAACTTATCTCCAACTTAATCAACTCTCCAGATTAACCAAAGTGTGTCATTCTCTATAAAACCTACAGAGCAATGCCTATGGCACAATGAATTCTCAAGGCTACTAGGCCCTCTCTAGAACATCCATGAGCACTTTAGCTCCAACCAAGGTAGCTGTTCTTGTGCTTCAAGAGTCAGCTACCCAGCCTATGTAGTTGTTACTACAATTATGTGATTTCAACATTTCATATGAGTGAAAATAAATTACTTCTATGAAAACTAAACTCAAAGACTTGAATAAGGTGAGCTACTTTTTAAAAAAAACCTACAGTTGCATTTAGAATTCTGCATCCACAAGTCTTTAGCTTCCTTTTTAAAGGGATTAAAACTGGAGTTTGTTATCAATGCATTATACAAGTGGTTTGTTCAAGAAAGAGGAGGCCAGGTGCGGTGGCTCACGCCTGCAATCCCAGCACTTTGGGAGGCCAAGGCGGGCAGATCATGAGGTCAAGAGTTCAAGACCAGCCTGGCCAACGTGATGAAACCCCGTCTCTACTAAAAATACAAAAATTAGCTGGGCGTGGTGGCACGAGCCTGTAATCCCAGCTACTCGGGAGGCTGAGGCAGGAGAATTGCTTGAACTGCGACCCAGGAGGCAGAGGTAGCAGTGAGTAAGATCGTGCCACTGCACTCCAGCCTGGGCTACAGAGCGAGACTCTGTCTCAAAAAAAAAAAAAAAAGGAAAGAAACTATTCTCAAAGAAAAATTATAGGCCCTCTTTCAAAATATTTAATAAATATGTGTATGTTAAAATAAAATGTTACATGCACTTATGAATCATTTTTGTGACTCCCTACTTTAAATAACTTTCTCAATTAACCAAATAACTACCAGATTCTTATGGGACCAAGACAAAAGGATCCCTACTGTATAGTAAATGTTCTGCCTTCAACCATCCCATGTGTCATCTCATTTTGTTCATTCTCTGGCAGTATTCACATTCACACCCACCACTTCGAGTCTTCAAACCTGGTTTTCCCAACCATATTAAAGCCATGTCATCTGTTTTTGCTAGTGCTATTTCCAGTCTTCAGAGCACTGCTGGGGAAAGTCCTATAAATTAATGTTCCCTAAGGCCTTATTAACATGTGGAAAACTTTAATTCATCTCTACTGGATTCTGTATTGACTCCCCACAGAATATGTTCAAACTTTTCACCTTGTCCTTTAAAAAAATTTGTCATGAGTTTATACTGACTGTCTAGATGTTAGTAGTATTTGGAGAAATCTGCCCTTTTTCAGAAAAGCAAACCAATCCAATCTGACAGGACCCTGCTGGATGGTTTCACTCCCAGAACAAGGCCAGTTTGTTCTTGAACATGTACCCAACTGCCTACAAAACAATTCCATGATCTCTATACTGAAAATAGCAGAAACATTTAAAATATTTAAATATTTGAAATATTGCACACCAGGAAATGGTGTGGTACAACTATGGAATATTATAAAGCTATTTAAAGATGTATATTATAGAATATGGAAATAAGCTTATTAATGTTAAAGTGAAAATGCAGACCACAAAACTATATACACAGACTATGATTTTATATGAAAAACCTGCCAGGCACTGTGATGCAGGCCTGTAGTCCCAGCTACTTTGGAGGCTGAAGCAGAAGGACCAGGAGTTGAAGATCAGCCGGGACAATATAGTGAAACTCATTTCAAACACACACATACACACATACACACATACACACACACACACACACACACACACACACACACACCATACATATAAGATAATCCAGCCAGGAATAAACAAAACCGGTAACAGTAACCTGTTACAGCAGTTAAACAATGAGTGATTTCTCCCCTTTTCAAGTTTCTATATTGGTTATTATTTAATGGGGAAAAAAAAAAAAACCTCAATGTGATTTCAAAGACAACCCCAGAGACAGTTTGCTATACCACAGACGAAGCATAAGTTTAGATATCAGGAAGGGCCAAGTTCACGTGGTAGTTCTCCTTTTAGAATAATACTTTCCTTTGATATTGTAATGATTAGATAATGTATTCAAAAGCAATCGTGCCTAAAACAAGTAGTTATACAACAAATATTCACTTTTTTTCTTTTCCCAGATATGACTTCAACTCCCAACCAATCTGAGGGGCACCTCTAATGACACAAATCACTGAAAATACATTTCAGGGTATAAAATCAAGCAATAGATTTAGCAAATGTTGACTTCAAGTCCCAGGAAATCAGAAAAATTAGAAATTAAATCCTCTTCAACTTGTTTACTAATCATATTAGTTATCTTCTAGTATAAAGATATGAGGAGGAAAAAGAAACTTTACCTAATATTTTATGATACAAAACCAAAAGCAGTTTACATTAATATTAAAAAGCATCAACTGCAGAGATGGCTAAAACTTCTCTAAGCTATACTTAACGAAAGAAATTTCACATATGCCACACAATCGTCTGACTCCAATATTTTTCATTCCATTTTGCATACTACTGCCAACTACCCTTTGTTAAACCACATTGCTCCTGTCAATCCTCCACCCCCACTCCTGCAATCTTCCCCCGCTGCCTACTTTAATTCTAAATGCCTGTATCAGGACTCTCCAGGCAAGGTGACAGGGAGAAAAACTACTGTAAGATCAGATGGAAGAAAAGGCCTGGGTACAGAGTTGAGTGGTTAAGTCTCCCAGGGTCTTTCCAGGCCTCGCCAATCCTAGCCAAAGATCTCAGAGCTGTGACACTCTCTTCCTCATGGATGTTTCTGATCTCTGGGGTTCTGACACTAGCCTGGCAAACCATAAACTGAATCTGTTATGGTGCGGTTATTAAAATTAATGATGAAAAATCTCTACATTTCCTGACATGACACATTTAAAGTCAGGCTTTTTAAAATGTATGTAACACAAACTTTTTTTAATGCCTATTTTAAAAACCTGGAAGGTATACCCACCAAAATAGGAACCACAGTTATCTCTCGGTAGAATTTAAGCTTTCTTCATTATTCTGTATTTTTCTGAATTGAGTTTTACAACAAACTTGTATTACTTTTAAAATCAAATAAAACAATTACATGCTACAGTATATAAGAACCTTGAAAATTATGTAGGCAGGGTGCAGTGCCTCACGCCTGTAATCCCAACACTTTGGGAGGCCAAGGCAGGAGGATTGCTTGAGCCCAGGAGTTTGAGATCAGTCTGGGCAACATGGTGAAACCCCCATGCAAAAATCTGCCAGGCGTGGTGGCACATGCCTGTAGTCTCAGCTACTGGGGGACTGACATAGGAGAATCACGAGCCGGAGGTCAAGGCTGCAGTGAGCCATGATTGCACCACCACACTCCAGCCTGGGAACAGAGATCTTATCTCCAAAAAAAAGAAAAAGGAAAAGAAAATATTATGTTAAAAGAAATAACTCAGGCACAAAAGGCTACACATTGTATTATTCCATTTATATGAAATATCCAAAATAAATAAATCCACAGAGAAAGTCTCTATGTGGTTACCAGGGGATGGGGGTGTGGAGTAGTGGGACTGACTGTTAACAGGTAGAAACTTTCTGGGGTGATAGAAATGTTCTATAATTAGATGGTAGATAGTGATGATCACTGCACAATATAGTAAATGTACGAAAACCACTGAATTGTATACTTTAACATGCTGAATTTTACATTATGAAAATTATCTCAATAAAAAATAGAAATAATTTTTAAATCATATAAATCATGCTGCTTAAATTTTGGAAAAATTGAAATAAAAAAATTAAAAACAGGCATTATAATATGTTTTTTAAGAGGGACACCCTGGCATCAGACCACCTTGTCCAGCATCCCGGCTCTACCACTTATCACAGCTGTGTGAGCTTAGTAATTTACCACCTATGCCTCCATTTCTTCATCTACAAAATGGGGACAATAACAGCACCTATCTCAAAATTCTGACGGAGGATTAAAGATATGGAAAGCACTTAGAGCAAAATAATAATACACATAATAAGTACTCTATTAAGTGTAAGCTACTATTGTTTTTTATTAGCACCAGTTCTGGAGAAAGTATAGAAAAATGAGCACTCAAACCAACTGTGGAAGTACATAGTGGCACAACCTCTCATGTGTCCATATGCATTGCCATTTTAATTGTCTTTATCCTTTTACCCAACATTTCCAGGAAACTATAACAGATATAAAAGAAAAACATACAAAAACCTATGTCCAAGATTGTTAACGTCAGCACTTTCTGTAAAACCAAAGTAGAAAACAATCTAAATGTCTATCTTTTGGGAATTAAATTATTGACATAATACTACACAGACTTTGGTAGAAACACATGTAGTGATATGAAAAGACAACTAAGACCTATTGTGAAAAAAAACACATTGTAAAACTATACATACAGTTATAATCCCATTATTTTGAAACATATGCCGGTTTACATATATAAGATTTTGCAGGTATACTCAATACATTTCCTTCATTAAACTGTTTTTTAAATCAATAATTAATCTAAACACAAGAACAATGTCCTCTGGTTCTATTTCTAACCACTATCCCTTAGTGTCTGCAACACTAAGTAGAATAGGAGGTAGCCAGAACCCAGGGAAATCACCCACAAAGATGAAAATCTACACAGCAACTTGCATACTGGCACTGAAAAACCTGGTATTAATGATTTTAAAAGATAATTTTTTAAAGACTTCACAAAATTCTGGTGCATTAGAAAGAGTTCCAGACTTGGGGTTCCAATTATTTGATTAAGTAAAAGTAACTATATGATCTTGACCAAGTGCTAAATCTGAGAATCCCAGTTTCCTAGAATTTAAAAAAAAAAAAAGGAGTATAATAATCCCTTATAGGATTCCAATGGTTATAAGAGATCCTTATAAAAGAACACTGCAAACTATGAAGAAAACTGACTGTTACTCTGGCTGAAACCACCAAAAACAAACTTAAAAAGACACTACCATAACCAGAAACCCCGACAAATTTTGTTGTAAAACATTGAATAATTTTTTTAAAACTAGGTCTAAATAAATGGGAATTAGGATGTGCTTATGGTATAACCTTGAAGTAAACAATGGTAAACACAAGTGTACCACCTAGAAAACACCTCAAACCACTTTAGAGAGAGAAGGAGGCTGGGCGCAGTGGCTTAAGCCTGTAATCCCAGCACTTTGGGAAACCAAGGCAGGCAGATCACCTGAGGCCAGGGATTCGAGACCAGCCTAGCAAACATGGTGAAACCCCATCTGTACTAAAAATACAGAAGAAAATTAGCCAGGTATGGTGGTGGGCAGCTGTAATTCCAGCTACTCAGGTGGCTGAGGCACAAGAATTGCTTGAACCCAGGAGGTAGAGGTTGCAGTGAGCCAAGATAGTGATACTGTACTCCAACCTGGCTGACAGAGTGAGACCCTGCCTCAAAAAATACTAATAAATAAAAATTAAAAATTTTTTAAAAAATAAAATAAAGAGAAAGAAGAAAAAAAGCTATAGAAAATGAATACAGGACACTAAAAGATTGAGCTGACTTGTGAACAATAAAGAATCTAAATATATCAACTGGGCTATAAACAACAGAATTGATACAGCAACATCAGCAGTTTAGTTTCACGTGCAAAACAATATTAAATGAAAGCTGACAAGGCAAAAATAAACTGAACTTAAAAATTCCTAGCCAGGCACAGTGGTTCATGCTTGTACTTTGAGAGGCTGAGGCGGGAGTATCACTTGAGCCCAGGAGTTCGAGACCAGCCTGGGCAACATAGAGAGACTCCGTAACTACAAAAGATAATTTTTAAAAATTAGCTGGATATGGTGGCACACGTCTGTGGTCTCAGCTACTCAGGAGGCTGAGGTAGGAGGATCAATTGAGCCTGGAAGGTCAAGGCTGCAGTAAGCCATCATGCCACTGCACTCCAGCTTTGACAACAGAGGGAGACATTGTCTCAAAAAATAAAAATAAAACATCCCAGAAGGAGATCTGACCTCTGAACAACAGTGGCTCCAGCATAAACAGAAAATGCAAAGCAAAACAACATGAATATTTTTTTAAAAGTTCAGGCCGGGTGCTGTGGCTCACGCCTGTAATCCCAACACGTTGGGAGCCCGAGGCGGACCAATTATCTGAGGTCAGGGGTTCAAGACCAGCCTGGCCAATATGGTGAAACCCCATCTTTACTAAAAATACAAAATTAGCTGGGCATGGTGGCACGCGCCGGTAATCCCAGCTACTCAGGAGGCTGAAGCAGGAGAATTACTTGAACCTGGGATGCAGAGGTTGCAGTAAGCCGAGATCACGTCATTGCACTCCAGCCTGGGCAAAAAGAGCAAAACTCAAGTTCAAAAATTTTCTGATGAAAAATGAAATAATTTAGCATAAACACTGAGATTAAAGAAGAGAATGGCAATTATCCCAGATTTCCTCTTCATATTTTTCCATATTCCTCAAATTTTCTACACAGATTATATACTGCTCTTATAACAAAGAAAAAAGGTGTGGGTTTTTTCCCTTTTTTAATCCATGGAAAAGACAGACTCAGAATATTTGCAAAAAAAAAAAAAGAGAGAGAGAAATTGAGCTGTGGTTGAAAATATAATAACCTGCCAAAGTTTTTAAAGGTACAAGAATACGTTAAGAACTTTAGAACCTTAAATGACTTCTGAAAAAATGACAAGGCTGCTGAGCCATGGAAAATACATGATACTTTTTAAAAAATAGATGAATTTGAATAGTAGCAAAGGAATTACAATAAATTAAGTTACCTAATAAACTAAAAGCATATACGGAGAGAATTTTCAGATTTAAGTATAGAATTTCCAAGTACATGAGAAGTATGCCAAGCCCCTAAATGCTCAAGAAGCTAATAATAGAATTATATGAATAAAGAAAATAGTTAAGTTAAGACAATGTTTCTAACAATGTAAAAAATGAAGGGGGATAAATAGGTTGAAGTTATCTCCCAATCCAGCTTAAAAGAAATTGAGAATTTAAATTCCATTAAAGAAACCACATATATAGGGAAAATGAAGGATAACAAATAGGAACTTAAATGAAGATGGTTGGTTATAACAAAGAAGACAATAACAAAGGTTGGTGAGGATGTGGAAAATGGAATGTTCACACATAGCTGATGAAAATGTGAAATGCTGCAACCATTTACAATAGTTTGGCAAATCCTCAAATGTTAAACATAGAGTTTTACATGGACAGCAGTTTGGCAAATCTTCAAAATGTTAAACATGGAGTCACCACGTGACCCAGGAATTCCACTCCTAGGTGGAATACATACACCCAAGAGATATGAAACAATGTATTTACACAAAAACTTGTACATGAATATCCATGGTGGCATTATTCATAATAGTCAAAAAGTAAAAACAAAAAAATGTCTATCAACAGATGAATGGATACTGAATGGATAAACAAAATGTGGTATTATCGAGACAATGAAATATTATTCAGTCAAAAAAAAGGAATGAAATTCTGATACATCCTACAACATGGATTAACCTTAAAAACATCATGCTAAGAGAAAGAAGCCAATTATAAAAGGTCATATTGTATGATTCCATTTATATGAAATGTCCAGAATAGACAAATCTACAGCAAAAGATAGTAAATCATGGCCAGGGTTGGTAGCTCATGCCTGTAATCCCAACATTTTAGGAGGCCGAGGCAGGCAGATCACTTGAGGTCAGGAGTTTGAGACCAGCCTGGCCAACGCAGTGAAACTCCGTCTCTACTAAAAATACAAAATTAGCCAGGCGCAGTGACAGGCACCTGAATCTCATGCCGAGGTATGAGAATCTCTTGAACCGGGGAGGCGGAGGTTGCAGGGCGCCAAGATCACACCACTGTCCTCTAGCCTGGAGGATAGAGACTGTTTCAAAAAAAAAAAAAAAAAGTACGTCAGTGGTTGCCTAGGGCTGGATGAGGAGAGGTGGGGATTGGGGAGTGACTGCTAAAGAATGTAAAGTTCCTTGGCCAGGCGCGGCGGCTCACACCTGTAATCCCAACACTTTGGGAGGCCAAGGCAGGCGGATCACCTGAGGTCAGGAGTTCAAGACCAGCCTGGACAACACAGTAAAACCCCGCCTCTACTAAAAACAAAAAAATTAGCCAGGCATGGTGGCGGGCGCTTATAATCCCAGCTATTCGAGAGTCTGAGGCAGGGAGAATCGCTTGAACCCAGGAGGCAGAGGTTGCGGTGAGCCAAGATCGCACCATTGCACTCCAGCCTGGGCAACAGAGAGAGACTCCATCTCAAAAAAAAAAAAAAATGTAAAGTTCCTTTTGGAGGAGATGAAAATGTTCCACAACCTTGTGACTATAGTCGAAAACACTGGATTGTGCAATTTAGAAAAAAGATGATGATGGAGGGTAGCACAGATATCAATTACTTAATTTAATGTAAATGAGTTGAATGCCACTGAAAGCAGAATGATCTATAACTCTATTGGGAGACAAATCCCAACACCTAAAAACTAAAATATAAACACAAATTCAGAAAAGGTTGGGTCCTATGATAACTTCAAGAGATACTTGAAATCTACTCTATACAAAGGTAAAAAGTACAACAAATTATGATACAAAATAATGTTCAATGTATATGTCCTACATAGAATAACAAAAATATAAGAAAAACTGAAAAACTGTGAAAAATAAACCTATCATTATAAGTGGAAGTTTAACTATTTAATTAAGAGGAGATGACAAAACAAAAAATTTAAAGTATGGAACTAAAACATAAATTAACCCTCTCCCTTTGGTAGGGGCCAACTTGACAGAGCCAAGTTCAGGGGAAAAAAAAAACAGACAGACAGACGATAGAGAGAGAAAGAGTAGATACACAAAGAGAGACTTAAAGCAAATGTGGTAAAATCTTAATTGGGGAATCTGGGTGTACTATTACAACATTTTTCTAAGTTTGAAATTACATGAAAATAAAGTAAACTTAAGTAAAAATAATAGTTAATATAACATGGAGACTGAGAAGTCAAGGAAATAACTCTTCTGGATAGAAGAATCTTTCACAAAATTTGTTTTCATACTAGAATACAATGACACACCTTGTTTGTTTGTTTGTTTGTTTGTTTGTTTTTTGAGATGTTGTTTCTCTCTTGTTGCCCAGGCTGGAGTGCAACGGTGCGATCTCGGCTCACTGCAACCTCCACCTCCCAGGTTCAAGCGATTCTCCTGCCTCAAACTCCTGAGTAGCTGGGATTACAGGCATGCGCCACCATGCCCGGCTAATTTTTGTATTTTTAATAGAGACGAGTTTTCATCATGTTGGCCAGGCTGGTCTCCAACTCCTGACCTCAGGTGATCCACCCGCCTCGGGCTCCCAAAGTGCTGGGATCACAGGCATGAGCCACTGTGCCTGGACGCACCTAGTTTTAATATGAAAACCCAGAGATTCCATATGACACATTCTTAGACCATAACGCAAAATCATGAAAAAACCCATCTGTAACATATATAAATTCATGTGTTTCACAACAATGAGAGAAATTTTATCATAAATGACAATGGAGTTAAAGAAACATAATGATCTATATCCACCTAAAGAATTTAGAAAGAGACAAAAGGGAAAGTTTAAGGGATAAAATTAAGAAAAAAAAATAGACATAAAAACATCAGAGAGTGATTCAAGGACAATGGTATAATCAGAGATAGCAGGGTAGGTTTCAAATACAAAGGAGGAAGTGGATTCAAGGAAAGAGTTAAAAAGAAGAACAATACAGTGGAAGTTACAAGGAGTACAGGCAGGAGAGGAGTTCAGACCAAAACACCTAGGCACTGGAGAAATAAGGTCTCCCATCCAAACATATAATTGTGAATAACAGGAATGAGGGAATGTACACCAATTTGACTCTCCTCCAAACAGGCTCTCCATCTCAAATTAAGAGCATCACAACTCACCCCACCATCTCTAGCAGAAGATCCAGAAGTTTAGGCAGAAAAAGATCAATAAAAGAGGCTGGCTGGTTGAGGACTGGGCAAAGTAAAGAGCTCATGCCTCACTAGACAGCACTGACTGATTTTTGCAATGTGGAAATAAAAGCCCAATGCTGACAGTACCTCCAAGTTTAGAAGAGAATGCAGGCCAGAGTGGTGGCTCACGCCTGTAATCCCAGCACTTTGGGAGGCCGAGGCGGGCAGATTACTTGAGGTCAGGAGTTCAAGACCAGCCTGGCCAATATGGTGAAAACCCGTCTCTACTAAAAATTCAAAAATTAGCCAGGCGTGGTGGCGTGCACCTGTAATCCCAGCTACTCTGGAGGTTGAGGCAGGAGAATCGCTTGAACCTGGGAGGTGGAGGTTGCAGTGAGCAAAGATCAAGCCGCTGCACTCCAGCCTGGGCAACAGAGCAAGATACTGTCTCCAAAAAAAAAAGAAAAGAAAGAAAGAAAGAAAAGAAAAGAAGAAGAAGAAGAGTCGGCAGAAAAATAGATTGCCAAGTGAAACCTCCAGATTTTTAATGGCTAACAACCAATGTAACTTTTTTAAAAAACTGTGCAGGCTAGGCTGGGCGCAGTGGCTCACGCCTGTAATTCCAGCACTTTGGGAGGCCAAGGCAGGCACATCACAAGGAGACCGAGACCATCCTAGCCAACACGGTGAAACCCCGTCTTTACTAAAAATACAAAAATTAGCTGGGCGTAGTGGTATGCGCCTGCAGTACCAGCAACTCAGGAGGCTAAGGCAGGAGAATCGCTTGAACCTGGGAGGCGGAGGTTGCACTGAGCTGAGATCATGCCACTGCACTCCAGCCCGGTGACAGAGCTAGACTCCGTCTCAAAAAACAACAACAATTAAAAATAAAAATAAATAAATAAATAAACAAAAAACCTGTGCAGGCTAAACAAGTCCTCTCAATTCTTCCCATTTCTACCATTATCTTTCATCGTACCGCCAGGCTCTTCCCTTCTCCATTCCATCTTCACCAATTTCAGACTTTGTTTTCTAAAACCATAATGTCACTCAAACCCTTTAAAAGCTTCTTGATGTCTTTGAACCAAATGCCAAAACTTCAGATGGGCCTTGAAGACCTTAATGTGGTGGCATAATCTCCTGCCTTAATCCCCGCAATTTAGTATTTCGAAAAGACTCCCTTCTCTTTTCCACCTTTGTGCCTTTCCTAAAGCTATTCCTTCAGCCTAGAATACCCTTCCTAAGAGGTATTCTATGTTCATTCATCTATGTTCAGCTTCTATGTTCATTCAGCCATTAATCTATTCCACAAATAAATATGTAATGGGAACCTAACTTCGTACCAGACACCAATCTGGGCACTGTCAATACAGTGGTAAACGAAACAGATAAAAATCTCTGCCTTCATAGAGCTACATACAGAGACAGAAAACAAGTAAAACGTATAGTATGTCACACAGGAAAAGGTGTCCTAGAGCAAGAAAAAGCACGAAGGAAGATTAGGATATGAGAGAGACATTGTGGATGGAAGGTGGAGAAGGCTGTAATTTAAGGCACCACTGAAGGTGACATTAGAGCAAACAACTGTAGGAACTGGGACAAGAAGATTCCAAGCCAAAGGAACATCAACAGCAAAGGCCTCAGGCAAAAGTGCGTCTGTTGTTTCTAGGTGATATTCTACTCTCCCCATACAGCCCAGCTTGAGTGCCACTTACTCCATGAAACCAGTTTTGATTCCTACAAATCAGAATTACACATTCCCATGACACCACATCTGTATCTTCCTCAGGGCACCTTGTACAGTGGAAATCCTCTTTTCAAACATATACAAGAGTGATCATTGATCTATTAACCAAAAAAGTCAGTTAAGGCAGAAACCATTTAAAATGATATCTATTTTAGCCATTTTAGTCTTAAATACATAATTATACATTCATTTCCCAATGTAGCACCAAGACCTTTTTTTTGAGTGTAAGTCTGCCAAACACAGTTCCCCACTTCCTTAGATAAATCACACCCATAATCCATTAGATCTACAATGTCCATTTTCCTTTCCTTTAAGTAGAACAGGGGCTTAAAAATACTTGCAGTGTTTTCTGGGAAATCCTTCCAAAAGTTTACAGGGTTTCTCCACTCTGTTTCAGTTGTCTTAACCATAATTTAATTCGTTCAGAGGCAATTCTTTCAGCTTCTTGTCTTTATCAAGTCTTTTCAAAGCATTTCATAAAAACAACTTTTTGTATTCATATTTCATCGATTTGAGTAATATTTATTAAATTATACTCATAATTACCACTGGTATAAATAAGTTTGAAAACAAATACAACTGACTCTTGCTTAGTAAGCAGAAAAATCAAATGACAAACGAGAGCCAACTTAGCATTTGAGCATCTCTGTGCTTGCTGTGGGAACTGATTAGTATGATTTACTAAGGGAATGATTACTCCAAGATGTCAAAATCAAGCCCAGCAAAGGATCTGAATAGACATTTCTCCAAAGAAGATATACAGATAGCCAATACATTCATTAAAAGATGCTTAATATCAATAGCCATTAGGAAAATACAAATAAAAACGACATTGATACATAACTTCACACCCACTAGGATGGCCAAAATCAAACAGACAGACAATAACAAGTGTTGGAGAAGATGCTGGAGAAATTAGGATCTTCAAACATTGCTGGTAGAAATGTAAAATGGTGCAGCCACTTTGGAAAACCGTTTGGTAATTCCTCAAAATGTGAAACACAGAGTTACCATATGACCAAGCAATTCCACTCCTAGATACATACACAACAGAACTGAAAACATGTGTCCACAAAAAACTTGTCCATGAATGTTACAGCAGCATTATTCATAACAGCCAAAAAGTAAAAACAACTCAAATATCCATCAGTAGAGAAATGGATATGCAAAATGTGGTTTATCCATACAATGGAATATTATTTGGCCATAAAAAGGAATGAAGTTCTGATACACACTACAACATGGATGCACATTGAAAACATTATGCTAAGGGAAAGAAGCCAGACACAAAAGAACACACCTCATATGATCCCATTTGCATGCATATCTAGAATAGGCAAATCCATAGAGAGTAGATTAGTAGTAACCAGGGACTGGGGAGGCGAGGAATGTGGAATGACTGTTAATAGCTATGAGGTTTCTTTTGGGGGTGATGAAAATTTTCTGGAATTAGAGAGTGGTGACAGTCGTACAATTTTGTGAATATATATAAATCCACTTAACTGTACCCCTTTTAAAAAATCCTATCTTGTTCGTGCTCAATAAATGCTTATTGATGGGGACTGCTGTAGGGAAGCAAGCCCAGATGTGGTAAACAGAAACTTCCACTATATATATCTGTAAGAGGCTAACCACCTCTATAAGATTATAAGGCCCTTGAAAGCAGGGAAGCCTTCTCATATATTTCCCTTAACATCCAGTATATTAGATTACACTACGCAGTATTCAATCAAGGTTTGCTAAATTAATTATTATCCATCCACATTTTACACAACAGGGATCTAGAAGATAAAAGCCCTGCCCGAGATTCCCCATTAATTAGAAAAACTCACTTTTATTCCCAAGAATCCTGAATTGCCACAAATAAGGCACTTCTCATAATCTGACATTTATATCGTCCATTAATACCATTCCTACCACCATATAATAATCCAGAGGACCCACTTCTAGTTAAAACCCATTTCAAATTCTCTACCTTATATCTATCACGAAATGCCACTTACTGGTCTCTCAGTATGTTCTTCTACCTCTTTAACCATATTCCCTAAGCTAGAAATGCCCCACATGGTTAGTCTCATTTGTTCTTCTCAAATATCCCAGAGCCAAAAAGGACCATCATCATCTTCATTTCACAAATGAAAAACAAAGTCAGTCAGTCTAAGGTTACCTGGTCTCCTAAATTCAAGTTTATCTTTCTTCACATATGTCATGTATTTCCAAGCTTTTTTTCTCTTTGGATAACTGGGAACTTTCTGTTAAGTTAGCTTTAAAAAAAAATAAGCATAAATAAAAAAGATATAAAATCGAAGTTTTTCTTTTAATCTCAATAAGTCTAAAGTCCAGAATAAGTGGAGAACTGGGGCAAGAGGACAACAAAAGAAGTCTTGTTCCAGCCTGGGCATCATGGCGAAGCCCTGTCTCTACTAAAAACACAAAAAATTAGCCGAGTGTGGTGGCACGCACCTGTAGTCTGAACTACTGAGGAGGCTGAGAATCACCTGAGCCCAAGAAGCTGAGGCTGCAGTAAGCTGAGATTGCGTCACTACACGCCAGCCTGGGCGACAGGAATGAGATCCTGTCTCAAACAAACAAACAAACAAACAAAAAAGTCTTGTTGAGAACAAGAAGAGATAAACCAAAGGCCCATTGCTTAGGGAAGATGCAATATCAAGAGACAACAGGGCCAATTCCCTATGCTTCATCTTCATCAAGAAGCATGATCTTCAAGCTAGGGAGGTCAGAAATCTGATAAAAGGAAACCAGCTTCTAAGGTAAGTGGCATGGGTAGGGGACAGTAACAGAATACAGAGCTAGTTCAAAAGAATATGCTTTCTGATCCAAATAACTCACACTCCATGATGCTGAAAAAACTTTTACATCTGCCTTAAAAACTACCACAAATTATCTAAGCTACCTTGACAAGGTGCCAGAAGACCAGAAATCAAATAAATAGAAATAAACACATGCTCAAATTTCAAAAAAGGAGAAATGCAGGCCGGGCGCAGTGGCTCATGCCTGTAATCCTAGCACTTTGGAAGGCCGAGGTAGGCGGATTGCCTGAGCTCAGGAGTTCGAGACCAGAATGGGCAACACAGTGAAACCCCATATCTACTAAAATACAAACAATTAGCCGGGCGTGGTGGTGTGCGCCTGTAGTCCCAGCTACTCGGGAGGCTTGAGGCAGGAGAACTGGTTGAACCTGGAAGGCAGAGGTTACAGTGAGCCGAGATCATGCCACTGCACTCCAGCCTGGGCGACAGAGCAAGACTCCATCTCAAAAAAAAAAAAAAAAAAAAAAAGGCGGAATGCAGATCCAGAAAAACATCTGTGGGTAAACCTGCTATGTAACTGCTGAAAAATTCTAAAATGGATAAATAAGTTTTCGAATACAGTAAAATGAGAAAGCCACCATCAGCTCTTTATTAAGGCAGGCTATACAACATGTGCTTTTTATTTAACAGGATTACTAAAATGGAAAAAGGGAGGATGACAGGATGATATATACACATAACAATCTAACAAGACAATCTGAAAGAATCTTTTAAATAATAGGCTGGTGAACAAAATGGGAAAATGTTGAACAGCAGAAGCTCGAAAATCTGTTAAATTCAACTAACAGGATGCATAGCTAGTTGAACATCTGGTTGA
The DNA here is from genome assembly GCF_000001405.40 of Homo sapiens. Taxonomy (NCBI): domain Eukaryota; kingdom Metazoa; phylum Chordata; class Mammalia; order Primates; family Hominidae; genus Homo; species Homo sapiens. Next base: position 100,477,271 of record NC_000009.12, on the reverse strand, counting down.
CTAACGTAACAACATCAACCAAGTTGGTAGAAAGTCTCCAGTAATATGTCGCAGGGTTCCATCCTTTTTCACAATCTAGACAACTTCTATTAATTTAATGAAGCCATAGAACTGCTCTTCATATTTGCAAGTGAAAAAAACCTGTGAGTGACCCAACACGCACAGCCTGACCGAATCAGCTCCAGAAAGCTCACAGTAGGCTGAAATGATGGTCCAAAACCAAAAATGAATATCTACAGGGAATCGAGGGCTGTATTTAGTTTTAAAACTGAAATAGGCCGGGCGCGGTGGCTCACGCCTGTAATCCCAGCACTTTGGGAGGCCGAGGCTGGCAGATCACGAGGTCAGGAGATCGAGACCATCCTGGCTAACACGATGAAACCCCATCTCTACTAAAAATACAAAAAATTAGCCGGGCATGGTGGCGGGTGCCTGTAGTCCCAGCTACTGGGGAGGCTGAGGCAGGAGAATGGCGCGAACCCGGGAGGCGGAGCTTGCTGTGAGCAGAGATCACCCCACTGCACTCCAGCCTGGGTGACAGAGTGAGACTCCGTCTCAAAAAAAAAAAAAAACGAAATAGGCCAGGCACATTGGCTCACACCTGTAATCTCAACACTTTGGGAGGCCGAGGCAGGCGGATCACCTGAGGTCAGGAGTTCAAGATCAGCCTGGCCAACATTGTGAAACCCCATCCCTACTAAAAATACAAATTAGCCCGGCATGGTGGTGGGCGCCTGTAGTCCCAGCTACTCCGGAGGCTGAGGCAGGAGAATCACCTGAACCCAGGAGCCAGAGGTTGCAGTCAGCCAGGATTGCGCCACTGCACTCTAGCCTGGGTGACAAAGTGAGACTCCATCTCAAAAAAAAAAACATGACAGAGTAAACTTCAGTTTGTGGGGGGATACCTAGATAATAAAAGCTACTAAACAAACTGTGCACAATTTCGAGCTGCATTAACAGATGTGTGTGTCCAGACTGTATTAACATGGTTCTCAAACTTACCAACTAAAAAAATTTTTTTTCCATATGAATCGTTCCCAAATCTTCATCCTAAAAAGTTACAATAAGAATCTACAAGTATCACTTAGTTAAAACTCTAGCTTTAGACCCAGTTATTCAAGTATATCTTACTGCTAGAAAACATTTTATTTGATCAGCTTAATTTATTGACATTTATATCAGTGATGAATACGCTTGAAAGAAGACTCAGATATTACTAAATCCAAGTCTCTTTTTTAAAAGGAATGGAAACTAAGAGAAATTAAGTAACTTGCCCCAAATTACACAGCTGCTTAACAAGGACCATGACCCCTAGATCAGTCCCCTTTTTCCCACACTGCATGTCACCCACCCCTCCTCTTCAATGCATAGTACCCCAGGGTGACTAACTGAGCCCCAGGCTTCACACGCACACACACCACACAAAAACACAGGTTCACTTCTCCGGCCCTGGGACTTTCCTGCCCATACCCGAGGTCACTCCAAGCCCCTACATTCCATCTTAGAACCCAAAGAACACACACACACACACACACACACACACACACACACACACAGTCGCTCTGCATCACCAACCCACATCCTCAAGGGTATCCATCCCTCTATTTCTTTTATTTCCTTTCTTAAAACTTGAACTATGCAAGTTAGAAAGTACACACAAAAACATCCCATCAAGACACACTATATTTTGCTAAGAACGAATTAGCTTAGCAAGAACAAATACCCGCGACACATTAGCTGGAAAAATATTGACATGGTGCGATCACTTACAAGTTTGATAATTAATATTTGTTACATAAAAAGGCACTCTAATATACAACTGGTTTTTATTCTTAAAGTATGATTATGTAATAAAGCATTACCCCATATCCCGTTCAACATCAGAAAAATAACAGAAAAGTTTTTTCACGGATGGAAATGCTTTTAATGGACATGCCATTGTTTACTGTGCTCAAAACTGCCATTCCCCTCATAAAACATTACCATATGAAAATTATTAAAAGATTTAAGGCCTTCAAACCTAAATAGCGGGCCAAAGGCTTGCTTCATTTAGGGTAGCATAAGCATCTGCGCTGAGACTCTCTTGCTCCTTCCTCACTCTTCCAGAAATAATGCCCCTTCAAGAGCCCAAAAGTATAAAGGTTGTCCGGCAGATTCCCAGTGGCCTTATGTTCCTCCCTCCTCCCCCTACTCCGCCTTGGTTTAAAGAAGACAAGAGAAGGCTCCAGAATTGATAAAAGGGCAAGTTAGCAAGGATGTGGCTTATGATCACTAGCATCTGCTAGGCCAGCTCCAAGAAGACCCTCCACTCAAAAAATGAGACCTGAATGCCTGTCTTTGCCCCAGGGCCATAATCCTTGTGCGCCTCTGGGACCCCTTTAGAAATGAAGAGGAACTTTACTGCTGGGACCCTCCTCCCCAGTGTTATCCACTAAAGCCTCAGCAAGCTCTTTGTTTCCAACAGCTGTGGGGGGGCAAGCGGCCTTGGAGAGAGGGGAGAGGTCACTCCCTTGCTCCCCGCTGCTGCCAGAATCCAGGCCCTCCCGCAAAACACACACACACAGGCACGACATCTTCCCTGGGACCCAATTCTCTCTTTCCACACTTTAATAACCCAGGGTTACACCTTGCTACACAAGGGCATTCCCTGAGACCTAATTTCCTCTTTCTACATCCAAACCCTACACAGGATGATGACTCCCAAGCCTCCTCCCCTTTGAAAAGACATAAATGGGGTTCGCTATAGGGCACCCATCCCTCCTCTTCAATGCATACCCCAGGGTGACTAACTGAGCCCCAGGCTTCACACACAACACACAAAAACACAGGGTCACTTCCTGGGCCCTGGGACTTTCCCCGCTCATATCCACAGACCCGAGGTCACTCTAAGCCCCCAGATCCCATCTCAGAACCCAAAGAACACACACGCGCGCGCGCGCGCACACACACAGTCACTCTGCATCGCCAAACCGCGTCCTCAAGACAACCCGTTCCCTTTATCCACACGACCCCCACCCCCGAGACCCCCAGTGCCTTAAGGAAGAATCTCCCCAGCACATCAGCACATGGTCACTCCCCTGCCCTCACCCCGCCCAGCCCCCTCGCCGTCTCCCACCCACCGCACTCTGCACACACACACACAGATCCCTGCCTGGGGCCGCCCTCCCTCCCCTCAGCCTTCACAACACAAACACACGCTCCCGCGAGCACACCCACGACCACACCGGGAGCCCCGGCCGGCCGCTCAGCCTCGCCGGCCCCGGCCCCGGCCCCACCGCCTCCCCACACGCCGGGCCGCCCTCGCCCAGCCACTCGACACACTCGGACGCACCCACGGCCACTCCCATCCCCAGCGCCGGTCCCAAAGCCACACCGCACGCTCGCGCCCTGCCCTCCGCCCTCGCTCACCCTCGGGCCCACCCCTGGGACCCCCACGACGGGGTCTTTCCCAGCCCGGCCGACCGCAGGGACCACGAGGGAGGCGGCAACGGAGGGGTGGGAAGACCTAGGGCCGGCTCCGACCGGTCCTACCTGAGCAGTTGATGCTCTTGCCTTTGCCGCCGGGACAGTCCCCGCCGCTGCCGCCGCCACCACCCGGGGGCTGGTTGGACGCGCGGCTCCCGGGCAGAGAGAAGGCGAAGAGCAGAAGCACCGACGTGTAGCAGCAGAAGGCGAGCGGAGGCGCGGCAGGCAGCCGGAGCGGCGCCTCAGCGGCTGCGGCGCCCATGACTGGTGCCCCTGGACGGCGGGAAGCGCAGGGAGCCGCAGGCCGGGGGCATCCAGCCGCGCGCCCAGAGCCCCGCCGCTGCCTCGGTGCCTCCTAGCAGCCGCGCCGCTGAGCCGGGGAGCAGCCCGTCAGCATCCCCGCCCCACCCGCAGCGTCCGCCAGGCCCGGGCCCGCGGCGCTCGGGACGGAGTCGGCGGGTCCGGGCGCGTGCGAGGGTCGCGGGCGCGCAAGGGTGCGCGCGAGGGTGCGAGCCGGCGTGGGGGACACCGCGGCGAGGGGAGCGGGCGGGCGCGCGCGCGGCGGGCGGGGGTCGCGGGCCGGAGGCAGGCCCAGCCTCTTGCTCGCCTCCTCGCCTTCCCTTTGTGTCCGTGGCCGTTGCCACCGCGTCACAAAGACCCCGGCCCGCCCGGTGAGGGGCGCGTGACGGAGCCGCCGGCGGGAGGGGTGGCTGCGACCCCGCCCCGCGCACACCCCCAGCTCCCGCGCCGACAGCTCCGCCCCCGGCCGCGGCCGGCGCCGCCTCCAGGGGAGCTATTGTTCCTGCGACAGGGCAGGGGCGCGGGGGCCGGGGTTGGGGCCACCCCTCGGCGGTAGGCTGCACCGTAGCAGACTTGTTTGCCGCCCTTTGTGAGCTGTTTTTGAAGCGTTTCCTTCGCCCAGCAGCAGGGCTGGGAATGAGGGCAGGTGGTCTGTCATATATCTATAATAGTTTTTAGGTGGAAGAAACTGAGTCACGGAAGAGGTAAAGGTGACTTGTCCAAGGTTGCATACCAAGAAATGGGCAGGACCAGGATGGGAGCCCAAGTTCTGACTCTAGCCATGCAGTTCTCAGAGATGTTGGGTGAATGGTTAGATTTCTAGGTTCCTCATCCCCACCTCATTCCCGTAGACTCACATACAAGTGAGTGAAAATAGTTTTACAAAAGTCTGTGTTGCCCTCTCCCCCTAACAAAAGCTGAGATTCAGAGAGGATTTTCTAATATACAAGGCCTGGTGAAAGCTCTTTATGTGCATTCTCTTCAATTATTTTTTTACAGGCCTCGGAGGGAGTTTTCGTTCTTATCTCCATTCTACAGATGAGGAAGTAGGGACCCAGAGAGGCAAGGTGATCTGACTCCCAGTCCAGTGCTCTTCCTACCACATCCTGCTAGGTGATAACTAGACATAGGTACTAAGATCATGGACTGAATTGTGTGAAAGTCCTCTGCCTTTTTCATTCTATTATATTGCATCCCACCCCAGAAGGAATTTTAAGTCTCATTGAAAAACTGATCAATTTGATTCATAAAATTAAGAAATGTGTGAAAAGCCACCGCAAGCAAAGCCACATTAGGAAAAATGTCTTCAGTGCAAATATGAGACAATATACTTAATATAAAGTTATATGTCAAGAAGAAAAAGTTAACATAATAGAAAAATAGGAAGCTTGACTCTTATTCACAAAAAGTACAGACAATAAATACATGAAAACAGATTTGAACCCACTAGTAATAAAAGATTAAAACCACAAAACTCTGGCCAGGGGCAGTGGCTCACACCTGTAATCCCAGCACTTTTAGAGGCCGAGGTGGGCGGATCACCTGAGGGCAGGAGTTCGAAACCAACCTGGCTAACATGGTGAAACCCCGTTTCTACTAAAAATAGAAAAAATTAGCCAGGCATGGTGGCGCGCACCTGTAACGCCTATAATCCCAGCTACTTAGGAGGCTGAGGCAGGAGAATCGCTTGAACCCGGGAGGTAGAGGTTGCAGTGAGCAGAGATTGCACTATTTCACTCCAGCTTGGGCAACAAGAGCGAAACTCCATCACACACACACACGCACACACAATTATTTTCCCTTTGGATGATTAACAAGAGTTAAAAGAATTGGCAGACTGAGCACTACTAATTTATACATTTTAGGAGGGCAATTTGACTATGTATCAAAAAACCTTTAAAATATGTTTACTCTTTAGCAATTCCATTTATTGGAATTTATCTAAAGGATAACTGGATAAGCACACAAAAATGTATACATTAGGATGTTCATCACAGCCTTTATAACTTAAATGTCCATCAGTGGGGACTAAAGTACGGTACCTCTTAGTACAATGGAGTATTATGCAGCTTTAACAATGATGATAATTAGGTTAGCGTTTACTGACATGGAAAAAGCAGGATACTGATGAGTAATAGGAAAACCCTATTTTTCTAGAATATATATAATGTGTACACATCCCTAGGAGAAAAAAGTGAAGAACACTATACAGCAATATATTAACAGTGGTTATGTCTGAAAGACCAGCTTATGAGTAATAATTACCTATAATTACCTGTTCTTTATATTTTTCTCTGTGATCTGAATTTTTATCTTTTTTTTTTTCTAACAGGGTCTCACTTCGTCACCCAGGCATGATCACAAGACTCTGTCTCAAAGAAAAAAAAAACTATTTTAAATAGTACTTTCATTATACTTTTTATACAAATAAATTCACATTTTTTAACATTTTATTAAGACTCGCCTCACACGTCTAAACTGTTAGTGGCATGCCAAATGTTAGAACTAAAATTGAACTTCTGGCTTTTCTGAATATTGTGGGATCTCAGGTTCCTAACTGCTAAGCCACAGCTAAGGCTTTTTCTCAGACCTTCAGCAGCTTCTCTGCTAAGGTTGACCTCTTCCATGCTTCATTCCTGACCTGTGTCTTGGCTCTCCAAGCCCCAGTATTCTGCCTTGAATTTTCATTTCACTGCTCACCATAGCCCAGGCAGAAATACTAAGAGAAGTCAACCATTAAATAAAAAGCAAAAAATCGGAGGGAGTGGGTGGCTCACATTTGTAATCTCAGCACTTTCTGAGGCCGAGGCAGGAGGATTGCTTGAAGCCAGGACTTCGAGACCAGACTGAACAACATAGTGAGACCTTGTCTCTACAAAAAAAAAAAAAAAAAAATTTAATTAGCCAGTGTGGTGGTGTGCACCTGTAGTCTTAGATATTCAGGAGGCTGAGGTGAGAGGATCACTTGCACCCAGGAGTTCAAGGTTACAAGTGAGCTATGATCATGCCACTGTACCACCTGGGCACTGGGCAACAGAGCAAGTAAAAAAAAAAATCCTGGGGCCATAAGTCACAAATTAATTTACATCTGCATCTTTCCCCAAATCAGCTAAAACAAATTCAATACAGATTTCTTGAAAAGAACTCTGCTTCAGAAACAGAATTTGTCTGACTTTGATCATATAATCTCAGAGAGGGAAAAGGTTGTTAGAAGTGAATTAATGTAACACCCATGACATGCCTTAATACTGGTGACCCCAAAATATCAGATAGCAAAAGGCTGTGGGACTCACTACCTAAATACCACCCAGTGAATTTTTACAGGATGTAGATTTCTGAACAGTACTCCAAACATTCTAGGTGATGCCCAAGTATCTCTTATTTATTTTAAAGTTGTCTAGATAATTCAGATGCACTGTCAAGTATGGAAAACCCTGAACCTGATCAGTCAGCTATTGCTCCCTAACAAACCACCATAAAATCTCAGCAGCATGCCACAAGGAGCATTCATTTCTCATAGGTTTAGAGGTTGACTGGGGGTTGGCTGGTTGATCTAGGCTAGGCTTGGGTGGATGGCTTTGCTTCAAGATACAGGTTCAGCTGGGTTTGGCTCCTATGTGCTGGTTGAGCTCTGGTTCATTATTCTAGTATTCATTCTGGGGATGGGACCCAGGAAGAACTCTTGTCACGGAGATGGCAGTGGTACAAGGGGGCACACCCAACTGTGCTAGCACTTTTTACACACTGCTTGTATATGTCTGCTAAAATCTCACTGGCTAAGATCAGTCCTATAGCCGAGCTCAAAGACAAGGGATAGGGAAGTTTATTCTCCTTATGGAGGTAAGTGAGAGGGAGTAAATAGGAAGTGAATATTTTAAAACAAAAATCTATCAGAGATCTTATATTGAACATCATTAGTTATGCTCTACCAGAATGTTTTCAGTTCCAAGTAACAGAAAACCCCAATCCAAGTTAAGGTAAACAAAAAGGGATTTATTGGCTCAGGTTTAAAAAAAAAAAAATGCCAGAGGTAGTGCCCTCTCTTATGAGTTGATTTCTGTTCTCAATTAAGCTTCACTCATGGAAAACATTGCATTCCTTCAAGAAACCCTTATGAGCATTTGCTGCACACCAGAGTAGCCTCTGTGGGCAAGAGATCCTGCCCTCACTGTGTGGGAGAGAAGGAGACACTTGAAAATTAACAACTACAACTCAGTGTGATAAATACTAAATATAAATGGAGTGAGGGTGGGGTAGATGTAAATGGCAAATCCCATCCCATACTCCCAGCCCTGCCAATATCCTGGCTTTCCTAGACCTCCTGCTGGAGGGTCCAGCTGCATAATGACGTCCTGATAAACAGTAATGAGACACTTTGGGACTGACAAATTGGCCCCAGTAGGAGAGAGTCACAGTGCTTGACCCAGAAACAGGGGAAAGCAATGATTTATGGTGCAGCACTGGCAAAGCCTGGGGTTAATCTCTGATCCAATTTGTGAAACTGGACCCCAATTTCTAGATAGGGGGGTCTTTGTAAAATTGATGTTATTTATTCATTCAACAAATTTGTGCTGAAGGTCTACTCCTAGTGCCTGGGAATATACAATGGTAAGTACAGCAGACCTGGTCCCTGTCCTTAGGAAGTTTACAGTCAAATATTAATCAAACAGTTATACAAATAAAATTAAAATTGCAATATTGTTAACAAATGCTATGAAAGAGAAGGTCAGAGAGGTTTCCCTAAAGGAGTGATGCTTGTGCTAAGATCAGAAGGAGGAGTAGAAGTTAACCAGGTGAAGAGGGAGTGCTCCAGGCAGAGGGAACACTCCCCTGAGAGTAAGAGCATCTGAATGCCAGCCAGTTTAGTAAGAACCTAAAAAAACAAGGTCGGCCAGGCACGGTGGCTCACGCCTGTAATCCCAGCACTTTGGGAGGCCGAGGTGGGCGGATCACTTCAGGTCAGGAGTTCGAGACCAGCCTGGCCAACGTGGTGAAACCCCATCTCTACTAAAATTACAAAAAATTAGCCAGGCATGGTGGCAGGCGCCTGTAATCCCAGCTACTCGGGAGGCTGAGGCAGGAGAATCGCTTGTACCCGAGAGGCAGAGGTTGCAGTGAGCCAAGACTGCGCCACTGCACTCCAGCCTGGGCAACAAGAGCGAAACTCCATCTCCAAAAAAAAAAAAAAAAAAAAGGTCAACTTATTTAGGACTTCATTTATTGATTCAACAAATATTTACTGAGCACCCACTATGATCTAGGCACTGTCCTAGATAAAGAGAAACAGCAGTGAACAAAACAAAGTCTCTGATTCTCACAGAGCTTACGGTCTAATAGGGGAGACCTGATAATAATAATAATAATGTCAGTGGGAGAGAATAATTTTTGGGTTGAGCCATGATAATAATACACCAAGGACCTGCTATGGCCCAGGTATGCCTATGTCCCAGGCACTTCGCATTTGTTGTCATTAATCTTCCCGCCCACCTTTTTGGTAAGTATTATTTCCATTTTATAGATGAAAAAACAAAGCATCAGGTCAAGTACCCAAGGCCACAAGGTGAAGAAGTTGGAGTCACCAGGTTCATTCTGACTGTAAAGCCTCACCACATCACTAGCAGGAGAAGATGGAGAAGCATCATCATCTGACACATGATGAAGCAAAAAATTGGCATTATCAAGACTGCAGGCACCAGAATCTTCACAAGCCATCCTGACCATCTTGCAAGAGTGTCAGGAGATTTCACTGGGTTTCTTGTGATTATATTCAGAGATTCTTGTGATGACATTGGTGGGGACTTCAGTTGGAATCACTGTTATTCTTATCCACTTCCCCTGAATGGTCCTCAGTTACATAGACAAGGTAGAAGCCAAGAAGGCAAGGGTTACAGAATAAAAGTGCTATGGGAATGCAGAAAGATATCCTAACTCTGCCTGAAGGAGAACAGGCTTCATCACTATAATTGTCACTTCTCACCCAAACAGTCCCTGTGAGTGGGTAGAGAAACTGAGGAGGCATCTCTGGGTTTTTACTGCAGGTCTTCTTGTCATTCAGTTGTTCAGCATTGCTCTGAATACAGAAGTAAGATTTTTCTTGATCTTTCGGCAAATGGAAATTTTCAGCCGCAATCCAAAAATTTCTCCAAGGGTTTTAGTTCATAAAGGAGTGTACCAAAGAAATAGCTTCTCTGAGAAAGACAATCACATGTAAATGGAAGTAGGAGGTATAGCATAGTAATTAAGAGTGTAGGCTCTGGAACCAAACCATCTGGGTTTGCATCTTAGCTCTACTGTTTGTTAGCAATATGACCTTGGCCAAATTATTTAACTTCTTGGGGCCTCAGTTTGATAATCTGTAACACAGAGATAAAATTTTTATCTGCTTCATAAGGTTGTTGTAAGAATAAAATGGGTTCATAGATGTGAAGTGCTTAGAACCATGCTTATTACATCATAAGTACTCAGTAAATCATTAACTAGAAGTAGGAGTCACATAGTAACCACGTGATAAATGTTAGTTACTGTTAGTGGCAGTTGTCATTAACTGTACTTATATACCAGACTAAGAGCTCCACATGTATTATCTAATACAACCAAAAACCTAGTCTTTTTGTGTTTTTTTGTTTTTTGTTTTTTATTTTTTTAGAGACAGGGTCACACTCTGTCACTTGGGCTAGAGTGCAGTGATGCGATCATAGCTCACTGTAACCTTGAACCCTGGGCTCAAGCAATCCTCCACCCTCAGCCTCTTGAATAGCTATGACTATAGGTGTGCACCATCATGCCTGGCTGATTTTTTTATTTTTTTTTTAAGAGATGAGGGTCTCACTATGTTGCCCAGGCTGGTTTTGAACACTTCGCCTCAAGTGATCCTCCCATCTCAGCCTTCCAGAGTGCTAGGATTACAGGTGTAAGCCACTATGCCTGGCCTGAGAAGGTACTACTATTATCTTAATTGTATAGATGAGAAAGCTGAGGTTTGGTGAGGTTAGGTAATTTGCCCAAGGTTACTCAGTTAATGGGCAACAAGGCTGGGGCCAGGTCTGTCTAGCTCCAAAGCCTATACTTTGAATCCAAAGCCTATACTTTGAGTCAAAACCCAGAAGGTTAAAGTCAACAGTGAAAAGAGCTCATCTGGGCTGGCTGGGTACTAGAGAGGCCTGCAGGACAGCAGCCTGGTAATTGGCAGAGGTAGCTAAGCTGCTGGGAGGAAAAGTTCTGACAAAAAGCCAGGTGGGTCAAAAGGAAGGACAAGATGTTTCAGCCAAGAGGCTGGGAACTTGAGAATGGCATCCACTGAGCCAAGAATCATGAAAGAGAGATAAAGCAAGGAGCTAGGTACCTGGAGGAATTACAGTGAGTCAAATGGAACTAAATAATTACATTTTACCACTGTGTGTGTTTAAGTATGTCAGCTTTCCTCTGTATGTATACATATGTATTGACCATATGTCATTTGCCTGTGTGTACATATGTAATGAGTGTATCAGCTTGCCTCTGTACATATGCATAAGTGCCAAGCATATGTCATTTTACTCTGTGTACATATGTAAGGAGTGAGTATATATCAGGTTGCCTCTGTGAGTGTGTGTATGCATGCATATTGGAGTATGACAGCTGGGCCCTGTGTTTGTACATGCACATTTACATGTGTGTATCCATGCATCCATTACTGTATTTATCAACTCATCTGTATATGTACATGTGAACTTGAATCAACAGACTTTTAATTATTCTCCCTTCGTCCCAGTTAAAAATTATTCCCTAAAGTCTAATGGCCTGGGGGTTCAGCATAAGGGTCAATATTATTGGATTCAGTCCTTAGTCTAGTTTCCTAATTGAGGGAGATGTAAAAGTAAAACAGCAAGACTGCATTCTGAAGCTATTTCTCTCAGCACAGAACAATAGTAATAATACATAAGGCAGCTTTGGTAGTGGTGACTTCAACAACGATGAGAACAGGGGTCAGGGCAGGACATGAATCTTGGTAACAATACCCCCATTCACCCAGCATTCATCCAACAATATTTAGAGATTGCCCATTATCTCCTAAGCAACCATGTTAGGCAGTGAGGATGCAAAGGTGAACAAGATAAACACCATCCCTGTCCTGTAGTCTAACAGAGAAGTCAAACTTTAAATGTAAAGCCTTTTGCGAATGATTGTGAATGTATCAGACTCCTACCACAGCAGGCAGTGGGGGTATCAAGGAAAGCTTCCTGGAAGTAGTGATATTTAAGCTGAGGCGGGAAGACTGATGAGTTAGAAAGGGGTAGAGAGGGAACAGTAGTCTATGAAAAAAAATCAACGTGTAAAAATGGAATAAAGGGTATGGCAAGTTCAAGAAATAGAGAAAAGGCAACCGTGGATGAAGTCTGGAGAGTGAATGACAGAGAATGAAGTTGGGGACTTTAGGAAGCAAGGGGCAGATGATGTGGACTTTTTAAGCTAGAATAAAGGGTAGGGTGCGGTGGCTCATGCCTGTAATCCCAGTACTTCGGGAGGCCGAGGCGGGCAGATCACAAGAGATTGAGACCATTCTGGCTAACACAGTGAAACCCTGTCTCTACTAAAAATACAAAAAAATTAGCCGGGCGTGGTGGCATGCACCTGTAATCCCAGCTACTCGGGAGGCTGAGGCAGGAGAATCACTTGAACCCGGGAGGTGGAGGTTGCAGTGAGCCAAGATCACATCACTGCACTCCAGCCTGGGCAACAGAGCAAAACTCTGTCTCAAAAAAATAAATAAATTAATTTAATAAAATAAGCTAGAATAAGGATTCAGACTTGATTTCAAAATTATAAGCAGGGAATAACCTGCTCAGATTTGTGTTTGTAAAAGGTCACTTGGTTAAATGGGTGAACTGTAAGTTATGTTAATTACATCTTATCAAAGCTGTTACAAATCATTTGGGTTGCAGTGTGCATAATGGATTGGAAAGGCAAAATATATGCAGGGAAACCATGAGGGGGCTATCAACATGGTCCACGTGAGTGAGGATGGTGGCTCGGACTAGGGAAGATGGAGACAAGTAAATTAATTGAATTTAGGAAGTAAAATCAGCAGAACTTGGTAACTGACTAGATGTGGGAGATGAGGAAGAAAAAATGTCAAGCAAGGGTTAATTCCAAATTCAGTGGCGTTTACTAAAATGGAAACTCTGGACAAAAAGCAGGTTTGGAGAGAAAATGATGAGTTTAGTTAGTTTTAGGCACACTGAATTTGAAGGGCCAGTGAGGCATCTGGATGGAGGTGTCCAGTAGCAGTTGAATTTATAAGCCTGGTGCTCAGAAGAGAGATTTATACTTGGCATATAAAGGTGGAAGGCATCAGAAGGTAAATTAATTGAAGTCATGAAAGTGAGTGTGATGATTTAATGAGATTTTATAAAATGAAAGAAGAGGACTAGGCTGAAGCTGAGGAACACTGATAGAAGTAACTAACTGTGACAGAACTGTCAGGAAATTCAGAAGGAACCCAGGAAAGAGCACTGTCATAGTGACCAAGAAGCAAAAGTGTCTCAAAAAGCAGGACATGGTCAACTGGTCAAATGCTGCTGATAGGTAAAGCAAAATGAGTCCAATGGATACAGTCACTTATAAGTCATCAGTGATCTTAGTAAAGCCATTTGGTAAAGTGGTAGGAGCAGAATCCAGAAAAGAGTTTATTGAAACTTAGTAATAAGTAGGAAGTAGAGGCCGGGCGCAGTGGCTCACACCTGTAATCCCAGCACTTTGGGAAGCCAAGGCAGATGAATCACTTGAGGTCAGGAGTTTGAGACTAGCCTGGCCAACATGGTGAAACCTCATCTCTACTAAAAATACAAAAATTAGCTGGGCATGGTGGCGGGCACCTGTAATCCCAGCTATTTGGGAGGCTGAGGCAGGAGAATCGCTTGAACCCAGGAGGTAGAAGTTGCAGTGAGCCGGGATCATACCACTGCACTCCAGGCTGGGCAACAAGAGGGAAACTCCGTCTCAAAAAAAAAAAAGAAGTAGGAAGTAGAGACAGAATGTTTAGACAGCTCAGCTGTTAAGGGAAGAAGAGAAAGCTAAAGGTGACTGTGGGTAAAGAAAGTACTTTTTAAGATAAGACTATAAAATATTTAAATGATTATGATAAAAATCCATTAAGGGGGCAAGAGGAGACTTGAACATAACAACACAGGAGAAAGGATAATCAGTCGCATAAGACTTTTTCTTTGAGACAGAGTCTCGCCCTGTCACCCAGGCTGGAGTGCAATGGCACGATCTTGGCTCACTGCAATCTCTGCCTCCCAGGTTCAAATGATTATTTTGCCTCAGCCTCCAGAATAACTGGGATTACAGGCGCCCGCCACCACGCCCAGCTAACTTTTGTATCTTTAGTAGAAAGGGGTTTCACCATGTTGGCCAGGCTGGTTTCGAATTCCTGACCTCATGATCCACCCGCCTCAGCCTCCCAAAGTGCTAGGATTACAGGCGTGAGCCCTGCCTGAGATTCTTGAGAAAATAGGAAGGAGTGGCATTCAGAGCACAGATAGAAGAAATGGCTATTAAAAGAAGACACTTTCTTCTTTGTAACAAGAAGGAAGGTAGAAAGAATGGGGGCTGTTGCAGGTGGTTTGTAGTTAGGATTTTGAGTTATTGAGGAAATTCCCGGATCACAGCTTCTATGTTCTCCCAGCAGAGCTTAGGAGAGATGGATAGCACCAGAGGCAGACACCAGAGAGGCAACAACCTAAAGCTGTGATGCTTAGGAGGAGGAAGGAAGTTTTCTCTCTGGTGGGTGTTTCTTGGCACAGGGAAAAACTATCCCCTCTCCTCCCCACCCCAGCAAAGGAGTTCTAAGGGAGACAATCTCTTAAAAAACATGTGGCGAAGTGGAGCCTTTGCTTTCTGAGTAGCCAGCATGACTTGAGGTAACCTAAATTCAGATTTTCTCAAACCCAACATACCTTCTTTCCATATGAATGCTGACAAATGGTCAAGACTGAGTTAATCACCACTTTGCAATCTTCAACAAGATAATGGAATCAGATAAGGATCATCAATGTATGCCAAAACCGTTGGGTGAAAGGTTACAAGGAGACAATATTCATGGTCTTAAAGCATCACCCTACAGACAACTTATTAGCTATGAGTGAAAGTAACTTTGGCCAGGAGCAGTGGCTCACGCCTGTAATCCCAGCACTTTGGGAGGCCGAGGCAGGCAGATTACTTGAGGTCAGGAGTTTGAGATCAGCCTGGCTGACATGGTGAAACCCTGTCTCTACTAAAAATACAAAAATTAGCCGGGCATGGTGGCGCAGGCCTGTAATCCCAGCTACTCGGGAGGCTGAGGCAGGAGAATCGCTTGAACCCAGGAGGCAGAGGTTGCAGTGAGCCGAGATCGCGCCACTGCACTCCAGCCTGGGCGACAAAGTGGGACTCCGTCTCAAAACAACAACAACAACAACAAAGAACAGGGGGTGTTTCAAATCCATAACCTTGTGTTTGAAATGAATGAAATATAATTAAAACAGGTTATTTAAAAAAAAAAAAGAAAAAGAAAGAAAGTAACTTTATAATGGAGAGATCTGACTGCTACCGACTCCACCAGGTGATCAAATTTAGGGACAATTTGCCATTATGTGCCTCCTAAAATGATGCAATCAGAGGTTCGTGACATATATCTGCATGATACCCTTGCTGACAAGGTTGAACCTGAATCTAATCACGAGGAAGTACCCAAATAAATTCAGAATGTGAGGGTACTTTACAAGTCCTGGACTTGAAAATAAATTTAATGTCATGAAAAACAAAAGATAAGGAGAGAGGTTCGTTCTAGATTATTTAGACTAAACAGACAAAACAACCAAATGCAGTAAACCTTAATCGGATCCGAAAAAATAAACAGCAATAAAAGATATTAAGATAACTGCAGAAATTTGAGCATAGACTATTAGACGATACTGAATTAATGTTAATTGTCTTAGGTGTGATGATGGGATTATAGTAATCTAAGAGAATTTTCTTATTTTTGGTAGATACATGCTGAAATATTTAGGGATGAAGTGTCATGATGTCTGTAACTTCCTTTCAAATGGTTAAAAGAGAGGAAAACGAACTATTAACAATTGATAAATGTAGGTAAAGGGTTTTAAAAATATTTAAAAAAAAAAACCTCAGTGCAAACTATTTCTTAATTACTTCACCAAACTTTTCTTTGCCATGACCTTGGATAACTTTATGCTTATAAGCATAAACTGTGCTGCTTGATGTGCTAAATTAGATTGAAATCTTTAAAAGCATCATAGCAAGAAAATTGCTCTGCAAAACTTTTTAGACATAAAAGAACTTCTAATTTGTGTAGGAGTATAAGTAAAGATATGGTAAAGTGGTAAAGCAAGCCACAAAATAATAAGAATGCTTTCCTGGGAGTCAGAAACCCTTTGAGTCTAGCACTTAAGACTAGAGATGTCATTCTCCTCATTTGCAGAGCAGGGCTAATGGTATCAGCTTCATCAGCCTGCTGTACAGGTACAGGAAAAACAGGATGTGAAAAGGATTTATAAACTGGAAATGGGTACGCAAGTGAAGGGGTTTATAATTATGATGACATGTTGATGTCCTATTAGCAGTGGTTCTCAAACATCATATACGTAACAAGCAAATGGGCAGCTTGTTACAAGTGTACATTCCAATCCCACCTCAGAGATCCCGATTCAGTAGGTCCAGGATGGGGCCCGGAATTTGCTCTGTGAAAGCACCCCAGATTCTCTGGTGCAAGTGATCTGAAAGCCACATTTAGACAACTGCCTTGGAGGAGGTTAGAGTGATCTAAATTCTTGCTATACATCAGTTAGTCCATGGCCAACAATATCACCATCACCTGGGAGCTTGTTAGGAATGCAAAATTCACCCCATCACAGATTTACTAAATCAAAATCTGCATTTTAATGAGATATCCAGGTGATTTATATGCATACTAACATTGCAGAAACACTAATCTAAATGGCAAACCTGATTGATGATCTCTTTTTTGCCTTGGTCACTGGTTCTCAGCTTGCTATCAGACAGAATTGGGGTTGCCATCTTAAGCTGGTTGCTGACACTTAAAACCTCACTTAGCTCTTCTCTCTGCTTTTTTTGCTTCAGGCTCCTCAGTCTCCTGGCAGATCTTTGATGAACATAACCACCCAATCAGCGTGCTGAATTTCTCCCATGTCATAAACAGACCAATCAAAGCCTACTGACTTGGAATCTAAATCTAGTTAAGCTATTTACTAGCTATGTGATTTCCTTTTCTTTCTTGTGGTGAAACATAACACAAAATTTACCATTTTAACCACTTTTAAGTGTACAATTCAGTGGCATTAAGTACATTCACATTATTGTGCAACCATCACCACTATCCATTTCCAGAACTTTTGGTATATAATTTTGAACGAGTCACTTTAACCTCTCCAGGCTTCACTTCCTCCTCTATAAAATATGAATATTATTACTTACATCTGCAGACTATTTATGGAATTAAATGAAATAATACATAAATATGCCTAAAGCCCCCCAGAAGGTGTTCAATAAATGCTGACTTCCTTCCACTTGAAGTAGTTTTTCACATAGCCCTTGTTTTACAATAGAAATCATCTACCATAATCAATTGATTAGAATTTTTAAAGGACATACAAAAATCTACATATTCTGGGCACATGATTGCCTTAGAATGGGGAAATTTATAAAATAGAAGTGGTCTATAATCTATAGAACTGGGCAGTTTGAAATAAACAGCAATTACATTTTGTTGGGAAAATTACATTTGGAGCAGCAACAACCTTTTTGTTCCCATTGTAGAGAAATTCTTCTATTACCTATATTTAGATTGCATTTATAAACAGCTTAAGTATAATACAATAATCAATAACATTCATGAATGGTGCTTTCAACCTTGGGGGCTGATCCACCTGCATGTAGTATTTGAATTCCATTTATGTACACATTATCTGTTAAGGAGAAGGTAAAATTGATAACTTGGGTTACATGCAGTAAATTGAAAAAGTTAGTTTAATTTCAGAATTAGACTAATTAGAACATGAATTTAGAGATCCTCTTCTCCAACACCCTTATCTCACAAACAAAGAAATTAGTATCCAGAGAGACCTAGTAACTTGCCCACAACACTGGAACCAGAGCCCAGATTCTAGGATTATGTCCTGTTGTTCACTTGACCTTGAAGAACGGCTAACATTTCAGCAGCATAGGTGATGGGAAGGGATTGCAGAGAAGCTAAGAGAACTCCAGGTAGAGGGATCAACAGAAGAAATTTCACAGAGTCTGGCTCTGAAACTGAGAGACTAATGATTGTGTTCAAGGAGTGTCAGAGTAAGGAGGCTGGAAGGCAACTGAAGATGAGGCTTTGTGATGGGAGAAGAGATAGTCTTAGACTCTTGTAACACAAAAGATCAGAATAGAGGGTTAGAGGTTTTGGGGGTTTGTTTTTGTGGAATTTTGTGGGGTTTGAGTTTACGATTTTCAAGGCTCTTCCAAATTTGTATTCTCATGAGATCATAGCAATCATGAGAAAGTAGGTATTTTGCTGATGATGGTCTTTACTCAGGAGGTCACATCTTTGCAAAGCTAAGATTTGAAGTCAGATGCTGAATACAAAGGCTGTGTATTATAATTCTTTTTTATTAATATTTTTAAATTTTTTTTTTGAAGACAGAATCTCACAATGTTACCCAGACTGGCCTCGAACTATTGGGCTCAAGTGATCCTCCCACCTTCGCCTTCCCAAGTGCTGGGATTACAGGGATGAGCCACCGCACCCAGGTGTATTGTCATTCTTTTCTTTTTTTTTTTTTTTTTTTTTGAGATGGAGTCTTGCTCTGTCGCACAGGCTGGAGTGCAGTGGCACGATCTAGGATCACTGAAACCTCTGCCTCCCAGGCTGGAGTGCAGTGGCACGATCTAGGATCACTGAAACCTCTGCCTCCCAGGTTCAAGACATTCTCCTACCTCAGCCTCCTGAGGTAGGAGTACACCACCACACCCAGCTAATTTTTGTATTTTTAGTAGAGACAGGGTTTCGCCATGATGGCCAGGCTCGTCTCAAGCTCCTGACCTCAAGTGATCAACCTGCCTTGGCTTCCCAAAGTGCTAGGATTACAGGCGTGAGCCACCACCCCTGGTCTGTATTGTCATTCTTAAAAGCATGAACTCTGGAGCCAGACCACTTAGGTTCAAATCTCTCCATCCCCATGTAGAAGCCATATGACCTTGAAAAAAATAATAATGGCTAAAATATATAATGTTTATTATATGCCAGGCAGTATTCTGAATACATATGTCACTCATTTAATCCAACAACCCTATGAAGGGTTTTCTATTATTATCACCATTTTAAAGCCTCCCCCACTAAATGAAAAACAAATTTAGAGGAAGGAAAGCAGTAATGAAGAAGTGTCTTAGTAGAAAATGAGGAATGAGGACGCATTTGTTCCCTGGGTTCCCCATTCCTTGATTTATAATATAATCTCAACTCCTTGGTATCCCCCTAGTTTTCTTCCCACTTGTGATTCTGTGGTAGATTAGATTATTGTTCCTCCTCTCCTCACCTTCTTAGGAGGAGTCTACTTCCCTCCTCCTGACTTAGAGCTTCATGCTTTGGCCAAGGAGATGTTAGCAGATATAACACTGAATCATAAAATATTCTTCTACAGTTGCGCTTGCCCTTTTGTACTTCTGTCCTGAGAAGAGGTTCCCTGGATAGCTCCTGCCCCTTCAGCCTGGAAATAAAGGTGACCACATGAGACATTTGCCCCAGCCATACCCCAGATTTCTCAATGCCTGAGTGACTGGGGCAACTGCCTCCAGTCCCACAGAATGTTGAAGACCAACCAGCCCCTTCCAAGAAACTCTTTGGAGACTCATAGTTAAGAATCTAAATCTATATGCACAGCACCAGCCTCTGAATTTCCTTTTTGGTTATGCTGGAAGCTGAACCAGATGATGGGACAGAAAAAGAACTAGAGCCTTACCTTCCACTGCTACTTAGAGTATTTCCCCCATAGCAAGTAGTCTTTAGATTTAAAAAAAACAAATTTTTTTTTTTGAGACAGTGTCTCACTCTTGTTACCCAGGCTGGAGTGCAATGGTGTGATCTATGCTCACTGCAACCTCCGCTCACTGCAACCTCCGCCTCCCGGGTTCAAGCGATTCTCCTTCCTCAGGCTCCTGAGTAGCTGGGATTACAGGCATGCGCCACCATACTTGGCTAATTTTTGTATTTTTAGTAGAGACAGGGTTTCACTATGTTGGCCAGGCTGGTCTCCAACTCCTGACCTCGTGATCCACGCGCCTCAGCCTCCCAAAGTGCTGGGATTACATCCACCCGCCTCAGCCTCCCAAAGTGCTGGGATTACAGGTGTGAGCCACTGCACCCAGCCAGAAAAAAAAAAATCTCTTAACAGCATTTTGAATTTTCCCCCCAAAAAACCCATAGAAAAGAAAACAGACCAGAGCCAACTTAAATCTCTTAGCAGTCACCAGGAGCTAAGAAAGAGAACCCATATTCCATTTCCCTATCTCATGGACTGACTGTCAGCCCTTTAGTGAGCATGCATGGTTAGTCTTTTCCCCCAAAACTGGCTGTGCTGTAAGGGCATTTTAGAAGTGGAACTGCAGATCCTCTCATTCGGAAGTAACAAGATCACATTCTGTCCATTCCAATCAGTACTTACAGTGAGAGAACTTTCATATACAATCTGGACATCTGGATAATGCAGAAACCAAGTTTTCCACCTAATGATGATAAACTTCACTGTTAGATTAATAATCAGCTTGCAAACCCAACAGTTATATTGGGTAATAGAGGTTCAATAGATGTGTTCTTTTAAATCTTCCATAAATCACTTCTATAAATTGAATCTCATATTAAATGCACCAAAAGCCTATTTAAAGAAATGCCATGTTGAAATTTTTCATAAAGAAAATAATCTGAAAGTAGAGCCTGAGATGAAGTTAAAAAAGAAAGAAAGGAAACAATCACACTCTTGTATTTGTAATGGAAGTTTTGTACACTGGGTGTTCCTAAACCATGGTACACCTGGGATACTTCCCCTACAGGGCAGCCTCTCTACAGGAGGGCACCCACATCCCAAACACAACAATTCAATGCTTTATATCATTCTTTATTTTAAAAGTGCTTTACCAACATATACTAATCTTCACAACATTCAAGGGAGGTAGATAAGTATTACACCACTTTCACAGATGGAGAAACTGAGGCAGAGATTAGTAAGTTGTATTGAGGGGCATAATATACGGCACAATTAGGAAAAGAATTTGTTGCAGTCATGGATCACTGAAGACCTTTCTCATGATTTCTGAGTCCCATCAACACAAAAAGCAGCAGATGCAGCATGGAAGCAGGTCATCACTAGTTTGGCTAGTCTAAGGTTAAACATTACCTTGTTGATACCAGATGTTGAATATGCTGTCCTTTGGCAAGCATCCCCCTCAAACGCATTCTTACATGCTTCCACCTCTAAACAGGAGAGGGGAAGCTGTTGTGAGTGCAGCAGGAGGGGGTGGAGAAACAGCGCTGGGAAGGAAGATGACAGAAGAGAAAACATGAACTGATATAAAAGCGAGGGCAAGGACAAACAAGAGGACCCTCTGGGAACCAGTCCAACAGAAAGGAAAGCCACAGCAGAAAAGAAGTATCATTTGAAAAGCTCAGACATCCAGAAATGCTACTCAAAGTGTAATTCTTAGCAATGACATTCAAAGCCACTCCTCCTGGCTTTGCCAAATATAATCATCAGGTCCTTCTGACATTCCCAGGAAGCAGAATCATTCCTTTCCCTGGTCCAGTCCAAGTGCTGATGTAATTGACCTGACACTGCAGAGAC
This sequence comes from Homo sapiens, assembly GCF_000001405.40. Taxonomy (NCBI): domain Eukaryota; kingdom Metazoa; phylum Chordata; class Mammalia; order Primates; family Hominidae; genus Homo; species Homo sapiens. The sequence goes on along the minus strand of NC_000009.12, from coordinate 100,455,630 downwards.
TGTTGACAACTCAAATGTACCCTCCCACCATGCCACCTCTCTTCCTCTGCACATCTAGTCTCTTCAAAACAAAGCAAAACAATGCATTTAATATTCTCCCTGCAAAAATCCTAAGACATTTCTGGAGATTTTGATGCATAATAATGTAGGATTCCATGCATGAATTTTTATAAAAGGGGCACGATGTGTATTAACAGCCCCTCTCAGCGAATGCTTGTTTATACAACATGGAACATTTTTTAAAATTGTGGATACCAACTGTCTAGAGAAAAATTGGAGCGCAAGGGAAAGAAATAACTTCTCTTGATCTTTCTAGTGGGAAGCAAATATAAGAGATGGTGACTGACATCCCACCAGCTGCAATGGAGGTACTGATGGCAGACGAAGCACCAAATGAGTAGGTGAACAAGGACCCAGCAGGGAGGGTCTAAGTCAGATGAACAGGTGGAAGCAGCAGCCCAGAGAGCTGGAGAGGCAGAAGTCAGGGAAAAGACATAGTAGCCAAAGAGGAAATGCATGGAGGTGATGGTGTTTGAGGTCTAGGCCTTCCTAGGACAGGTTGGAGCCCGAAATGCATCCTTTCTTCCTTTATTTCAATCAGCAGCATCATTCTTTCAGACATGTAGCTTTAAAATCTTATCCCTTCTCTCCAACAAACAAGGTCAACTGCCAAGCCTTACTGATTCCACTTTGGCAATGCCCTTCACACTGATCTCCCTCGTGGGTTTGTTTGTTTGTTTGTTTGTTTGGAGACGGAGTTTCACTCTTGTTACCCAGGCTGGAGTGCAATGGTGTGATCTTGGCTCACTACAACGTCCACCTCCTGGGTTCAAGCAATTCTCTTGCCTCAGCCTCCCAAGTAGCTAGGATTACAGGCGCCTGCCACCACGTCTGGCTATCTTTTTGTATTTTTAGTATAGACGGGGTTTCACCATGTTGGCCAGGCTGCTCGCGAACTCCTGACCTCAGGTGATCCACCCGCCTTGGCCTCCCAATGTGCTGGGATTACAGGCGTGAGCCACCGCACCCGGCTGTCTCTCTTGGTTTTACTGCAACCTCTTCTGGGTCCTGCTATCATCTCATCCTAACCAGGGACAAACCCTCCTACGTATCCCCTACTCCAGTCTTCTCTCCACTCAGTTCTTTCTTCTACTCTTCTTCCTGGAGTACAGTTCTGATCACATTACTGCCCAAACTCAGAAATTCCCCATGCTGTCACTCCCTCTCAATTATGTGTCTCATTACCTTGAATCTTCAACAGGACCTTGCATCTAGTGAAGTTCCTCTGGTTTCCCAATCTCCACCTGCCAAAATGCCGACTCTGAAGACTTAGCTCCAGTGCCATCTCCTCCATGAAGACTTCCTTCATGCTTCTTAGCTCTCTGCTGAGGTACAAGTGCACTTTGAAGACATGCACTGATCAAGCGCATGATAGCTGTGTACAACCCTTATACTCCCTACTGGGCTGTGTCCGTAATTTGCCAAGGTGGGGGATGATGAACTGTGTCTTAATATTTACCTGTCTATCCCCTACACCACCTACCAAGAAATGGTTATTGCATTTCTACCTCGGGTAAGAAACTGCTCAAAAGTGAAATGAATTGTGATATACTTGCTCACAAATGGAGACACTGAAACAAGTACCCTGTAATGTGATCTGACTCTCAGGATAAAACCAATTCATGATAGAGCTCAAGGAATGGGACAAGGGCAGGCAGTTTGGACTACATATTTTGGAGTCAAGAAATCTGGGATTGAGGTTCTGCTTTGCCATTCGCTAGCTATCTGCTTGACACCAGGTGGTTCTTCTTTGAGCATCATTTCCTTCCTTCTGCATGGCCTCATGGGATTAAGAATAAAATGAGACACAGTTGTGAATGCTACATCAGTGATTCTCAATCCCAATTATGCATCATAATCCCCTGTAAAGCTTCTGAAAAATATAGAGGACAAGGCCCCAGCCCAGGTAAATTGAATCAGAATCCTGTGGAAATGGGACGCAGTGGGACTAATCATTTATAAAATGCTGTTTCTAATGCATAGCCAAGGTTGGAAGCTACTGTTATAAACTCATAAGTACCATTAACAGTAGAGCAAGGTGCTTTAGGCTGCTGGTTTAATTATCCTTTATATGTAAAGTTAGGAATCAGTTCAATGCTTTTATAGTTCCATTAAAATACACTACTGTGTGCAAGCATTTTTTGTATTCTTCTGCATTGTTGCATGGTTAAGTTCTGAAAGAATAATATCTAGCACCACTGTATGTAAAGATGTACCTAAGCCAAATTTTTGAGAAATAAAAACTTCATAGAGTCCTCTGAAACCTTGCTATTCAGAAGTGTGGTGACCAGACAAACAGAACTGGCATAAACCAGGAACTTGTAAGAAATGTAGAATCTCAGACCCCACTCCGTACTCTCTATAAAACGAGGTTCTTAAATGTGTCAATAGGTGAAGCAAAGGCAATCTTTGCTCAGTTCACATGTATGTTTAGGGTCTGCCATTCCCTGTCCTAATTCTAACAGGGTAGGAGGGCATGAATCATCAGATTCTCTCTTCCACAAACCACTGAAGATTGGGACTTTATCCTGATGCTTCTTTCTCTAAAAGGGTCCATTTGGTAAAAACTAAATTAAGAACATAAATCCTTACAAAAGGATCTTTTCTTTCAAAGAAGACTAGTCTTCACAGGCTTTCTTCAAATAACCAGTTCCTCTAAGACATTGAAAATATAATTCGGTGTTTAAAATAAATTCATACCCGTTTTGTGTGCTGTGCATAAATAGCAAGTATATGTGTACCTTACCAAACTTATGGTCCCCAGTCCCCAAATTCCAAAATTATGCAGGAGGGAAGGTTAGCCATTGCAGTAAACAATTTCTCCCTATTGACCCATGCTCTCCAGCTGATTATGATGTGGGCAGTACTCATCCAAGGCTATACAGACCAGCCGGGCGCGGTGGCTCATGCCTGTAATCCAGCACTTTGGGAGGCCGAGGCAGGTGGATCACGAGGTCAGGAGATCGTGACCATCCTGGCTAACACGGTGAAACCCTGTCTCTCCTAAAAAATAGAAAAAATTAGCCAGGCGTGGTGGTGGGCGCCTGTAGTCCCAGCTACTCGGGAGGCTGAGGCAGGAGAATGGCGTGAACCTGGGAGGTGGAGCTTGCAGTGAGCCAAGATGGTGCCACTGTACTCCAGCCTAGGCGACAGAGTGATACTCCGTCTCAAAAAAAAAAAAAAAAGACTATACAGACCACACCATAGCCAAGAAGTTGTAACAGACTTGGAACGTCATCTAGCCCAACTCCCTTGTTCTGTGGACAGGAAACACTACACCAAGGGTTAAAAGGAGTTACCCACATTCATACGGCAACTTGACGGAGAGTTGAGCTTAGAATTCAGGCCCTGACTCCAAGGCCTATACCACTTATGTGGACTCTGCCACATATACTCCTCCTTCCCCACCACATGGCCTTGAACTCTCACTGTCAGAAACTGCTGATCTGCCTTGGCACTTAAGTGTCACTTTGCTGCTTCCAGCTACTGCTGTCCCCAACACCCGGGGCTGTTTTTAACAAGAGGCTACAGGAGAAGCTATACTGCAGCTCAGTCAAAATATCCATTTATCAATCCATATTTCCGAATATGTTGGTAATGGATCCTCAAAAGGCCCAATGCTAATTATGTAATGCCAGCTACAAAGCATTACTACTGGCTAGCACCATGAGCATGGTGAGGGAAGGGCCTTTCCTTTGGTAGCTAAAGACTAAAAGCAAGGGCAACTATCAACTCAGTAGTACAAAGCTGGGAGGAAACTAGAGAGAGAAGAGAAAAACTGGAGCACAGCTGGGAAGGCAGCACCTTTAAAAAACATACACAGTGTGACTATAAAATTGCAAGTCTTTTTTTTTTTTTTAATAAAACCAACATAACAGAATGTAGAAATCTAAACGAACATTTCTTCCTCAAAGTAGTTACATCCTTAGCTCCAACAAAACTACTATTGTTGGAGACTTATTTAGAACTCCTGTTTGAGGAAAGGCCTTAAAAGGTGGTTTATGAGCCACATTAGAAAATACCCTTCTAAACTTTGGGCTGTTTAAAAACAGAAAATCCATACTCAGAGGATGACACCGAGAAAATTAAAAAGGTGCTGCAGCTCTCACGGAGGTTCCCTAAAGACCTCTAGCAAGTTCTGAGCAACAGCATCACCATTGGAGAAACGTGTAGCCTCCCAGGACAGCCACTTTCCATGGGACGGCATTCATTTGGATAGAAAAGTTCTGCTGTCTGTTTAAAAAGAAAAAAGAAAAAAAAAAAAATCAGCCACACTCCTTTATAGTCACACTTGCATTTGATTAAAAAAAAAAACAACAACAACAACACTCACACGTGGTTCTTGTATGAATTCTAATTAAGAGACATTATATTCAGAATTATAGCACTCATAGTGATAATTTTCAGAAGACTATAACAGCTTCTTTGCCACTTAAGGGGTACAGAGGGTGCAGCTGTTTACCTGAATGAATTCTTAAATAAGTGACTACTACCACTCTAATTTTCCTAGTTGTAGCTCTGTTACAGGTTACTGACCGCCAAGTCCATGTTCCAGACATTCTTTGCCAACACAGATTAATTACAAGAGAGCCACCCCCAAAGTCTTAGGGCGAATTGGGAAAGGGCCGGTTAAATGAGGAAACAGGCCATTCCTTGGTAAAAGTTTGTAGTTTTCTTTCCCAATACATCTTCTTTTTATTGAGAACTTCCATTTTTATCCTGTGTTCCTCCTCTGCCATCTCACACTCTCGCTCTATCTGCTGGATTTTGGCCACATGCACCTCATTCATTTGTATCAGTTGCAGTTGTAAGATGGACATTTGTTGATGGTGTTCTTCCTCATGCATCTTTTTTAAAGCACCTTCCTGAGAGGTTTTGCTCCTGTAGTTTTTATTGGCTGTTATTCTGACAGCTGAACACGAGGGTTCAGGTTGAGAGGTCCCCTCACATACTGGAAAATGTATGAACTCTTTCTCATCATCGCACAGTTCTCTATTTGAAACAGCAAATGATTCTGAAAAACAGTAGCAGAAAACATATGTTCAAAGATTTTACAGGCAGAGAAAAAAAAAAACCAATCCTATTTCAAATGACAGGGTCCTTCATTACAGGATGTATCTAAAATCATGTCTGCTTTGGTCTTCATGTCTACAGGGACCCTAGCCACACCTGACTTTTTAAAAACCCACAAATCAAAAGCAATTTTTTCTTAAGAAATAATGATAAGGGGTTTTGTTAGGTTATTTCTAGAACTTCAAAGTATGGGATCCGTGGTCAGAAACCATTTTTATCAAGAATCAGAGACCTTTTTATGTTGATATTCTAAACTGAAATATGCCCAACTCTGATGAGCGTAGGACCACAATGCAAGGCCAGTGTGGATCTTCAAATTAAGTTCTCTATCAGTCTGATCATGCTTTGCCAACTTCTCATTCAGCTATGAACACGTATATGTAATCTTTGCAAGAGTGCTATTGCTGTTTCCTGGTCACAGGTGTTAGCCCTTACCCTGGAGAGCCATCTTGTAAATGCTGTTCCTTGAAAGATGAGTCTACATTCCCTGGCTTAACTCCCTCACATACGTTTTCTCTTTACTCTCCAGCACTGCCATTTGGGGAGTTTTCAATGTCCCTCTTATTTAACCTGTCCCTGGTACTTGACTATCCTTGAAATTTCTTTCCTCCATTAGCTTCTGAACCATGACTCTCCTAATTTCTAAGCTGCCTTCCCCTCTGATTGCTCCTTCTCAAGTCTTCTTGATTTACAGAGACTCTTGCTCTACTCACCTGTTACCTTTTCATATTCTCCTGGGGATTCCCATCTGTGGCTCTGTTCTTATCTGCCCTAAGTAAACTCATAACCTGATTCTGACCTTCCTTTCTTTCTTGTCTGACTCTTCCAAATGCCCTGTTCACCCTTCAGTCCTACCACAAGCTACTCACATCCTTTATAAGGTCATGCTTTTTTTCATAATTCTGTTTCACTGTTCCCTCTGCTTAAAGTTAGGCTATCTGTCCCTCCACTTACTGTAGTCTCGCTTTTTTAACCTCACCCCAACTCCTACTCATTCAAAACCAATGCCGCTTGCTCTGTGAAACCTCAGGTCTCTCCTTTATATGTACTCTTCTGTTACAGCACTTAACACACACTAGTATTGTTTTGGCACCATGACATTCTCTTTTTTTAATCCTTGGGCACTAATTACTTTGTTTGGTACACAATGGATGCCTAGTAAATGTTTATTGGCTGAACCCTTGAATATAAAGGGAAGAGTATATGGATGCAAAAGGATACCACGTTTGGTAGGTGCTATGTTTGCCCTGCTTTTTTTATTAGAGCAGTAACATCAGTGTCAATTAGGGAGTTGCAATAAGGAAACCACTAACTCCACTAACCCATGGAGTCTTGTAGCTGTGACTCTAAGGCTTTCTTGAGAAGCTTTACATTTCCAATAACGAGCATCTTCTCCTTGGAGAAAAACAATGCCAATTTATTAACATAGTTGATTACATTATTACGTCCACTCCGTTATTCTGGAAGATGAGATGCTGGGAATGTTCATGGGTACTGGGGGAAACCTAACTCATAATACCCTGTTAATAAAAGGAAAATGGCTACTGTTTAATTATTCCACTCCAAGAGGTAAAGTAACAATCATAACTAGTCCCTAATTACGATTAAAGAAAAGGTAAAAATCTTACTTCTGGAAGAGAAGTTTAAAAAAAAAGAAAAAGTACTTCGGTGCCATCCAGAAATAATGAAAATGTCTCTTGGAAATCTTTCCTGGAGACAGCTCTGGCCTCAAAGACAGCTCTTCCTTCATGCTCCCACTGCCTCCTGGGCCTACCTCTGGCAGAACACTTGTTAAAACTGGCAGTTTACCTCCCTTTCAAGTCTCTAAGTACTCTGAAGACAGAGATTGCTTCTGCTCATCCTCATGGAGAACCCAGCACAGGGCCTGGTATAGTGCTGGGCATGTAAGAAATGTGTATGGGGTGAATTACGTGCAGTGGGTCACATCCCTCCCAACACGCCCAACCATGGAGAAGGAACAGTGCTCTGTGTGGGTAACCAAGGCACAGGACAAAGGAATGGGAGAGGGTTAACACTGAGAACAGGGCCCTCAGGTGTGAGTTTCAACTGCAAAGAGCATTACCTCACCTGTTTCCTTTCTAGTTTTGGATCTGAAAATGTCTTCTTTGAAGACTGGACACATTAGACATTTTGTGGTACTTCTAGTCTCTTTTCTCTTTGATTTCATTCCAGGGGATAGTTCTGGATACTCCTCTGAGTCCTTAAAGTTCATCCCCTCACAATGCTGCTGTCTCGCCCAATTTCTTTAATTTCTTCTTCTTCTTTTTTTTTTTTTTTTTTTTTTTTGAGATGGGGTCTCATTCTGTCACCCAGGCTGGAGGGCAGTGGCGTGATCTCAGCTCACTGCCATCTCTGGCTCCCAGATTCAAGTGACCCTCCCACTTCAGCCTCCAACTAGCTGGGACTACAGGCATACACCACCAAGCCTGATTAATTTTTTGTATTTTTGGTAGAGACGGGGTTTCACCATGTTGCCCAGGCTGGTCTCAAACTCCTGAGTTCAAGCAATCGGCCCGCCTTGGCCTCCCAGAATACTGGGATTACAGGCATGAGCCACTGCACCGGCCTCTTCCAATTTCTAAAGGCTCACTTTCATCTCAACAATTCCAGGCTTTAGAGACCTGATGATGATATGGTGATGACAATGATGATGATAGCACCTACTGTTTTTTGAGCAGCTAACTAGGTCCTAGGCTAGTGCTTTATAGCATTACCTCATCTAATCCTTACCCTATGAGGGAGGTATTATTATAGAAAACCAAATACAATATCCAAGGTCACATGACTAGTTGAAAGAACCAGGATTCTAAGTCTGTATGACTCCAAAATCCAAACTCAACCACTACAATAATCAGCCTCCCACTCTTCCACTTGCTCAGCTGATCACTTGCATATCTTAAAATGTAGCCTCCAAATTGTATCCACTAAAAAACCATCTCTTATTAAGAATATGGGCGTGTATCCTGCATTTTGATCTCTAAATTTCTAGAGCTGTGAACATAAAAAGACAGTATGTTTGTGTCCGGGAGCAGAAAAATGACTCTTCTTTAAAACTACTCTTTTTAGTTTAAATGTGTGCTAACATCCAAATTTTAAAGGAAAAAAAAAGCCAGGCCTCTTAAGAAGACTCTGGCAGAAAACAGGGCTTTAAACTAGAGAGGCTCAATGGTATAGTTAATTAACTTTCACACACATATTAGCTCCAATGAATAGAAACTACTGTTCAGATGGGAAGAATCTTGTCTTAATTGGAAAAAGACTAGCCTAGGAATGGCACTGTGCTGCAAATACACACCATGTAATCTCTCTCAGAGGTAAAAACAAAGCCACCTGAAGGAGAAAACAACTCAATCTTATGCAAAAAGGGTAGGAAATCCCAACAGCTTTCCTGGGACCAGGAAAGCCAAGGGGCTTTTCTTTCACTTGGACAACTGGAGTAAGTTTAATATCAGCAGGAAAAGCCTACTATGACAGCAAAAGGATGGGAAGGAAACTGTAAACAGGCCAAACCCCAGATACAGGAAATAGGGCTGACTGGGAAAGGGGATAAATAAGATGTGTGGATGCATGCTATGGAGTATATATAACACATTAAAAGAAAGAAACTAGACTTACACACTGCAGTGGGAATTGATCTTTTTTTTTTTTTTTAGACGAAGTCTGGCTCTGTCACCCAGTCTGGAGTGCAGTGGTGCAATATTGGCTCACTGCAATCTCCGCCTCCAGGGTTCAAGCAATTCTCCCGTCTCAGCCTCCCAAGTAGCTGGGATTACAGGTGTGCGCCACCAGGCCCAGCTAATTTTTGTAGTTTTAGTAAAGATAGGAGTTTTGCCATGTTGGCCAGGATGGTCTTGAACTCCTGACCTCAGGTGATCGGTCTGCCTTGGCCTCCCAAAGTGCTAGGATTACAGGTGTGAACCACTGTGCCCGGCCTAGGAATTGATCTTAAAAACAGTATTCTAAGTGAAAAAAGAGAGAAAATGGTATCCCTAGCACAAATTTAAATCTACATAAATTTAAAATAGATGCACACAAAACACATGTAAAAGGATATGCAAGCGCGTTAGAATGATTCAGATGCAGGAGAAGAGAATGAAAGAATGGAATAAAAATAGAACAAACACGTAACTAACAAAAGAAAGGCTTTTCACAGACCAGTGAGGCTGGGGTGCCATGACTGGAAGTGTAACTCAGCCCTCTGGTACCAGAGATCTCACCCCCAAAGATTAGGATTGAACAGTAATAATAATGGCATTTATTAAGAAATGTTCACAGTTATCAAGTATCACTTTAGAGCATAGAATGTGAAATTAAATATAAATTATCCTAAGACATCTAGGTGCTACACTAAAGCTTAGTTTTCTTAAATGTATTTGACCTTTGGTCATCCTAGCCTCCCAGCCACTCCTAGCGAATTTTATTGGCTCCCTTAGTTGGTTCTGTACACAGTTGCCCTCAAAATAATGGAAGATAAGTGTCAAAGCCAAATTATCACACATCATAAAATCTGCAGGGTGTAAATTGTTTTAATATATTTAAGGAGGAAATACTGGGGTTTTTTGGCAAATATCAATATATTCCTAAGTGTTATACTTAAATTTTAAGACTAGTGTGTTCGAATGCAGATGGACATTTTCAGAAAGTTGTTGACAAAGCTAAGTATATCCAAGGGACAGTGATCAAGATGACACAGTTGAAACTATCTCATACCAAAAAGTAGTTGCAGGGAGGCCTCTAGTGGAATACTATTAGAGTCCATCCTGTTTAACAGTTTTATCATAAATTCCAATAAATTTCTGAGTACCTAATTCTGTAACAGGTACCCTGTAAGGTGTTGGAACAGTATTGTCCAACAGAAATACAATATAAGCTATTTATATAATTTTAAATATCCTCAGAGCAACATTAGAAAAATAAAAAAAGGTGAAATTTTATTTTGGTAATATATTTTTTAATCCAACATATCTAAAATATTATTGTTTCAACATGTAACAATATAAAAATTATTTAATGAGTTTTTTTACATTTTTAGGTACTAAGTCTTCAAAATGTGGTGTGCACAATTATAGCACATCCTAATGTGGTCTACCCACATTTCAAGTGCCTATGAGCCTCATGTGGCTTGTGACAACTGTATTAGACAGCACAGTGTTAGAAATAGAAAGATCACACACACACATTCCTTATGTCAAATACACAAGATGTAATGAGGGCCATAACTCTATAGCAGATTTTCCACCTTTTTCCTACCAAGTCCCAGAAAGGATGATTGACAATTCCAGGCTTCTTTTTCTTTCTTGAAAGAAAACTGAAATGCAAAATGAGTGAAATGAACTCAAAGTTGTTTTACTGTATAGAAAGAGTACCAGTACCCTACCTACTAGTATTAACAGATTACCTTTGGACACACTTCCCAAATGACAAAGCACCAAGGTTCTCCACCACCCTCCAGATGGGACCTGGACACAGGAGCAAGGAGCATTTGGCTATGCTTTAATAATCACCAGCAAAAAGGGAAGTCCCCAGTGTCATCTATGTACAAACATCCAATTTAAAATAAATCCGTTTATACTTGAGTCACTATTAAATGTTACTATAAGAAAAACACTGAGAATGTACCTTTATTCCCTTCTTGCTGAAAATTTATAAATTACGTTTATGAGTAAATGAATTACATCATTTCTTCCAAAGAGAAAGAGAAAAAACTCTGTGGGATGAACTTCCCTAGATCCCACCCCAGAATTTGAAAATGGGGAAACAAGACTGTCCAGGCCCCCTAAGAATAACCCTATGTATTCAATACACAATAATCTAGATCACAGGTTTGCAAAATGAACAGAAGGCAGCTCACACCAGCATGGTCCTCAGCAATATCTCCCAGGGAACATAAGCAATGTAAAGAGCAGCCCTGCTGATCCATTCCTTCCCTCCCCCAGCACACTCCTCCACAACCTCACAGAAGCTGAATGGCTCTGAAGCCAGCAAGATGGAGAGGAACAGAGTAACTGGCTAAAGCTATAAACATCTCCAAAACAAGGACACCATTAATTAGCTGTGGGGGCCCATGCACTACAGAAGCAGCAATGAGGAGTGATAAGAGAGAGAGCTGACAGAGCCCCCATAAACTGTCTGCTAGGAGGTACCCTGGCTTGGGAACTCAGGGATCAAAACTCAGACACAACATTCCCACACTGGAAATCGATGTATGAGGTTCCCACACTGGAAATCGATGCATGAGGTTCATAACATAAACCACTATGGTTACGCAACTGGCTTCCTGGACTTAACCTTGGTCAAATGATCAGTAAGCAAACTTTTGATCATAATTTGCTTCTCCAGGATCGTCTGCCTACAGGACAGAAAAAAAGGTGCTAATCAAAAACATGTATTTGATTCACTTGGCAATTATCTTTTCCACTCTACACAGACAACATTCCTGGCTTTAGACTGCTTCTTGTTACTTTTAATTAACAGGAGCCAGTCCCTCAGAGCTCAGTCTACTCTGGAGGCACTGACAATTGAATTTCCCATTCTGCAAGCTGAGAACCAGATTTTCCTGGGGAAGTGCTTGCTGGGTCCTTGAAGCACCTTATGAACAACCCTCTGTCCCCCACCAGGAAACATCCTCTGCTTCAATGTCTGTCTTCTGCAAACTGCAATTAATTTTTATATAAACTGGCCACTTCCTGTCTGAAAAGAAGCAGGAATTTCTGGAAATTTATCTATGTGCATTTCCACCCTCCCCTTGCCTAGAGACATTTCAATAGCCCCTAAATTCCAACCTTTTGAAGCTATGACACACTATCATTGCATCCTTCATTATATGACAGTGTTTTTTTCCCCAAGAATTATGTATGACATATTTTTCTCTTTTTAATGGAAGTATATTAAACTTAAAGTTAATTTCTTTTGGAGCTTTTCAAGATCCCTGGGGTGCCACAAACCAAAACTGTGGATCACAATAGTATAATGGCAAAAAATGCTGGTTTTTAATCTGGGTGAATGCTAAAACAGGCGTTTATCATATTATTCTTTGCACTTTTTTTAAAGTTTGAAATAGTTCTTTTTTTTTTTTTTGAGATGGAGTTTTGCTCTTGTTGCCTACGCTGGCGTGCAGTGGTGCTATCTTGGCTCACCACAACCTCTGCCTCCCGAATTCAAGCGATTCTCCTGCCTCAGCCTCCCAAGTAGCTGGGATTACAGGCATGCACCACCACGCCCGGCTAATTTTGTATTTTTAGTAGAGACGGGGTTTCTCCATGTTGGTCAGGCTGGTCTCAAACTCCCAACCTCGGGTGATCCGCCCACCTCAGCCTCCCAAAGTGCTGGGATTACAGGCATGAGCCACAGAACCCAGCCGGTTGACTCTTTTAATATGGCCTTTTGAGTGGCCTACTGCAATGCTTTGCAAATAATAAGGACCTCCAAAAATATTTTTTGAAAAAAGTGAAATTGAGTGGATGAATACAAATCTTCATACAATTCTCTTTAACATATTTGAGACAGGCTGATAGGCAACTGCAGCACCTCACTAATAAGAACTCCATTAATCCAGTCCCTTATTTTTCTTTATGTTTAAGTAATAATAAAGTCTCCAAGAGAGCTAGCACAATGATGTAAACAAGTACTTTTGTTTTTATATATTACTTTTTTTTTTTTTTTTTTTTTGAGACAGGGTCTCACTCCGTCACCCAGGCTGGAGTGCAGTGGCGCAATAACAGCTCACTGCAGCTTCCACCTCCTGGGCTCAAGTTATCCTCCAGCCTCAGCCTCCCGAGTAGCTGGAACTACAGGTGCATGCTACCATGCCCAGCTAATTTTTTCTATTTTTTGTAGAAACAGGGGTCTCACTTTGTTGCCCAGGGTGGTCTCAAATTCCTGAGCTCAAGCCATCCTCCCGCCTCAGCATCCCAAAGTGCTGGGATTACAGGCACGAGCCACCACGCCCACTTCTATAAGACTTTGAATGTCCTATATAATCCTGAGATCTTGAATTAGGAAAATTGGATTTGATACAAAAGTTTCATTTTTAGAAGTTCCCTCAAAGTGGAGGGTTTTAAAATTAAAATGTCAAACAGATACCCAGTGAGAGCGTGCACACTGGCATCAGGAACGGATACCTTGGGCTGAGGCGTCGGGGTGGTATTCGGGCTCCTCCTCCGGGGGGCTCTGCAGGAAGTAGAGCTGCTCCGGCAGCATGCTGGCGATCTTCTCCTTCCCTAGGACGTGGGTACTCAGGAGAGGGCTGACGCTCCGTTTCACTTTCTCTCTCCTTTCATGGGCCATAATTTTTTTGGTCCGAGCCTTGATGTTCTCCCAGCACTTCTTCAGCTGTTTGAAATCCCGCAGGGACACGCTGGGCTGAGAGTTGTATTCGTGGGCCAGCGCCTGCCAGGTACGCTGCTTAAGGGCAATAGTTCGCGCATCACTTTTCTTACATTCCAGCACATATTTATACTTTTCTACTAAAGCCAGCAGGATGCTCTTTTCCAATTCTGAGAAGTATTTGGCAGGCTTTATAATTTCGTTGTTTTGCATTTTCCACTGTATTTCTCCTGGCCGCTAGCTATCCTGTAAAAGGAAGTTTGAAGCAATGATTACCAACTCCAGCAAAAACAATGCCTATAAATCACTGAAGCTTAATTCCTGACTTGATTCCCTTGTCTGAAATACAGTACTTTCTTTTCCATTAAGGTTGAATTATGATATTCAGGACTCTGGAGAATATTTAGAAATGTACTAGGAATGGGGTTTTATTTCAAAGTGGATTGTTGTGGCTATACTGTGACTATCTGGTATATAACAGCAAAAAAAGAAAAGTTGAACATTTTTTTTTTGAAACGGAGTCTCGCTCTTGTCACCCAGGCTGGAGTGCAGTGGCACGACCTGAGCTCACTGCAACCTCCACCTCCCGGGTTCAGGCAATTCTCCTGCCTCAGCCTCCTGAGTAGCTGGGATTACAGGTGCCTGTCACCACGCCCGGCTAATTTTTTTTTTGTAGTTTTGGTAGAGACAGGGTTTCACCATGTTGGGCAGGCTGGTCTCGAACTACTGACCTCAAGTGATCTGCCTGCCTCGGCCTCCCAAAGTGCTGGGATTACAGGCGTGAGCCACCACGCCCGGCCTAGACTCTGATTTGTTAATTGATTTTTCTTTAATATTAGGGAACTGATTATTCCCCCAAATCATGTTAGCCAGTTTTAGAACTAAACAGCTTTCCAAAACTTTTGTCACAGCTGAGGACAAAAGAAGCCACCGTGTACTCAAATATAAAATATGATGTGGGAGGCTGAGGCAGGCGGACCACGAGGTCAGGAGTTCCAGACCAGCCTGACCAGCATGGTGAAACCCCATCTCTACTAAAAATACAAAAATTAGCTGGGCGTGGTGGCGTGCGCCTGTAATCCCAGCTAGTCAGGAGGCTGAGGCAGGAGAACTACTTGAACCCGGGAGGTGGAGGTTGCAGTGAGCCAAGATCGTGCCACTGCAATCCAGCCTGGGTGACAGAGTGAGACTCCATCTCAAAAAAAAAAAAAAAAAAAAAAGATGTACAGCCGGGCACAGTGGCTCACACCTGTAATCCCAGCACTTTGGGAGGCTGAGGTAGGTAAATTGCTTGAGCCCAGGAGTTCGAGACTAGCATGGGCAACAAGGCAAAACCCTGTCTCTAAAAAAAAAAAAAAAAAAAAAAAAAAAGGGAAGAAAAAGAAGAAAAAAAAATAGCCAGGTGTGGTGGCATGCACCTGTAATCCCAGCTACTTGGGAGGCTGAGGTAGGAGGACTGCTTGAGCCCAGGAGGTCGAGGCTACAGTGAGCCATGTTTGCACCACCGCACTCCAGCCTGGATGACAAAGGAGACACTGTCTCAAAAAAAAAAAAAAAAAAATTTGACGTTTTCATCACTCTGTGGCATGTACCTGGAGCAATGGCAACCTCAGTTTTTTCATCTTTAAAATGAGGGGTTGGAGTCTGTGATCCTTCAGGTATGCGGGCTGTTTTTTAAAATCCTAAGTAAACAATGTATGTAATTTCAGATGTGAAAGGGCCTAGGCACTTAAGAGACTGAGTCCAGTGTCCCTCTTTACATTCCTCAAGTCTCTTTCCAGCTGAGAGAAGAAAGGGTCAGAAAGGTGAAGTGGATTGCACAAGATCACAAAGATGGTGACATAGAAAGTCCAGAGCTTGGACTGCCCTAGGAGTCTGGTATTCTTAGAATCATTCCACAGCTGTTTCTCGGCCTCTTGCCTTGGGTCACTCCAAATGATTCAACCATGATTCCCATAAGTCACTTTGTCATCCTCTACAGTGCCGGGTCAGCATGTTTCACACAACAGGTGCTTAGTGAATGTCTTCTTCCAGTGAAGTGTATGAAACCTATGTGTGTTTTAGGACTGCACGCTATTCCCATATCTTTCAATCACAGAAAGCTTCCTATAAAATTAACCTCTCAAATATGTTACGGCAAAAATGTAGCTAAGCAACACTGACTGCGGCAATAAAGTAAGCATTATCGTTCCCCTAGTTGGGAAGGGCCTACGTATTCCCAGTCCTTCTTACATTCTCCAAGCCTCTGATTTCTCAGAGTAACAGGCATGCATCAAGATACTGATGAGGCAGTCCATTTAAAACTGACCAATCATGTCAAAAAATTAGGAACTGGGCAGGCGTAATGGCTCACACCTGTAATCCCAGGACTTTGGGAGGCTGAGGCGGGCGGATCACGAGGTCAGGAGATGGAGACCATCCTGGCTAACACAGTGAAACCCCGTCTCTACTAAAATTACAAAAAAAAAAAAAAAATTAGCTGGGAGTGGTGGCAGACGCCTGTAGTCCCAGCTATTCGGGAGGCTGAGGCAGGAGAATTGCTTGACCCCGGGGGGCGGAGCTTGCAGTGAGCTGAGATCGCGCCACTGCACTCCAGCCTGGATGACAGAGCAAGACTCTGTCTCGAAAAAAAAATTAAAAAAAAAAAAATTAGGAACCAACTTGAAAAGAGCCCCACAAGCCAAAAATGGAATAATTTGAAATCAAAGGTCATATGTACACAAGGATTCATTATTTTCTCAACCTTTGTTATGTTTTAAAATTCCATAATAAAAAATTAAGCAGGGGAGGCTGTGACTTTTAAGTTTACAGTACACTAATTTTGAATCACACTATTTCAAGCCGGCTACTCACGCACTATGCCTGGGAAGGGGTTTCTGTAGTTGTGAATGGCTGAAATCTGTTTGACTGAGGCTGGAGAGGACTGGGCCAGATCAGAGACCCTTCAAATTGACGCCAAGGAGTGTGGTCTTTACATGAGGGTGACAGAACCTGATCACGGTCTCTCACTACGCACTGCCTCATCCTAAAAGTTGTTATTAATAGAATGAAGTACGAGGGTAATCCGTATCTCCAAATACCAGGTACCCTGCTCTACATTCATACTGGACACATCAGGTATCAGACACTGGGAGGTTCGGACACATGTCAAAGGTGGTTTGGCCCTCAGATCCTGAGCAAAGCTAAATGAGCGGACATTTATCTTTGGGGATGTGTCCCTATAATGCTAAATTCCCATGCTTCTGTTTTGATCATGTTGCTCTAATATCCATACAATGATACCCAATCCAGGCTCCTTCTTCCTCAAAGGTCCCAAATTAATTTTTTACCTTCACCCATACTTTTATTCCCTATGAATCAATGTTCCCCAAACTGAAATTTATTAACATACACCCTGTACAATATCTCTCTTCTGTATTATCTCTATCTGCCAAGATGTCTATGTCCAGCTTAACTTTCTGTAGTTTTTGTTAGGAAATCAATAGGTACACTGCCTGTTCTTAAATTACACAGCTTACACAGCAGATTCTGATCCAATTCCCTAACCTCAATGTCTCTGCTCCAGATGTCAATATGCCAACTTTCCCCACTTCTAAGAATTGCTGCTGTAAGGATTAAGAACTCTGATTCACAAATGAAAAAAGGATTACTCCCCATTTTGTTGTTATATGTAATGCTCTTTTACATATACATTATATGTGTGTGTACACACACACACACACACTTTCTAAATAAATCTCTTTTTTCTATTTTAGTTCTTCAAGATAAATTCCTAGGACTTCTCCACCAAAAGATAAAAACACTTAAGACTTATGTTATATCCCCAACTTGTCCTTGTAAAATGTTGCACCAATTACATTTCTATTAACAGCACATGAGCATGTCCATCTCCCTATTTTGTTTTTTTATTCTGTGCCAACTGTGGAAGTAAAAAATGTCACTTCATTGATTAATGATATATGAATTTCAGCTCTGAGGTAAGTAAGCCACACTCTGAACAAAGGTCCTGTGATCCTTGGTGGGACTGAAATTACATGGAATTAATTCCAAGCAATGTAATTCTTCCTCAAGATGTGTGCAGTACCTCTAGCTGCCACTAGGTGGTGGTGGACTTGTGGGGAGTCTAAATTTCACAAAGGTTCTTGCCCTACATGTGGCCAGTTGAGTCTCAGAGTAATAATAATGATAGCAATAATATAATAGCAGATAACTTGTATTGAGCCCTTACTGTAGGCGTAACAAATGTTTAATATGCACAATATCATTTAACCCTCCCAAAAATAGCCTCTGAGAGCACAGTTTGTTATACTTCAATGTTTTCTGTTAAAAATACATATACATATGCATGTATATATAAATTTACATATATAAAGTACCAGAAGAAATTATACGACTGCTCTTAAAAGCAAATGCTCAGAATTACCAACACCTGGGGACCATTAATAGCCTATTAACTAAACTGTTATTTAATCACTAGCTAAGTAAATCCAAAGTTACCAATTTACTTTGCTTAATTTTGTAGAACAGCAGGCCTCACTGGGCCTTGCGGTTGCATTCTGCCTGGCTATAAAGGGATTCTGATACAAGGCAATGTACCCCAAAGGTTCCTTATGGATTTTCAACAGCCTTGTGAAATAGGCTGTTTATCTCCCTTAACCAATTACCATTCCCATTTCCCAGATAAGAAAACTGTGGCTCAGTAACTTACTCTGGTCACAAAATAGTAAGTGGTCTGACTTACTCCAATGCTCATGCTCCTCTCTGCTCTGCTTAGCTCTCTTGTTTCAGACCTAGTGATAGCCTCTATTCCCCTCCTCAAAGTATGGGCATTAACACTCTAATCATCAGCCGGGAAAGGGCCCAGGGTAGGGCAATTTAGGTGGAGTGTGTCTCCATCTGTTGGCTCTTCCCCCACTCATTTCCCTCCCTCCATCACCTCCTCTCGATTTCAAACTTAGGGCCCATAATCCTCCCACGTGTACCTTCCTCACTCTAACCAGAGCTCTGAAATAATTTCCGCCCTTGATCCAGTAAGACTGTATGTTTGGGCCAGGCATGGTGGTTCACACCTGTAATCCCAGCACTTTGGGAGGCCGAGGCAGGTGGATCACCTGAGGTCAGGAGTTCAAGACCAGCCTGGCCAATAAGGCGAAACCCCATCTCTACTAAAAATAAAAAAATTAGCCAGGCGTGGTAGCAGGTGCCTGTAATCCCAGCTACTCAGGAGGCTGAGGCAGGAGAATCATTTGAACCTGGGAGGCGGAGGTTGCAGTGAGCCAAAGTCGAGCCATTGCACTCCAGCCTGGGCAACAGAGTGAGACTCTGTCTCAAAAAGACTGTATGTTTGAAAGGTAACTGTGGAGATCTTTTGGAGCTTTAACATGGTCCATGCCTCCGGGGAATGCTGGCATTCCGCTTGAGCACAAAAACAAATACTTCCCAAAGAGGTCTCTCCAGCAAAGCTTATTAATGCTTATTAATAGAAACTTTGAGGCTAGAAAGGATACTCTTGTTTAAAACTATTCATCAATTGTCCATAATTGTTTATAAATGACAACATAAAAAGCGTTCCCTGCCGCATCAACTTTTATTAGGGATAGACTGGACTTCCCTGTCCCCAATTCTGCTCAGGAGCCATTATCTCTTGTGTCTGCTGTTCTGCTAGACAGTATATGATCCATTCTTATGCATGGTTGTAGGGCAACAAGCAGCCCAGTGACCCTCACAAAGTAGGCGCTCAGTAAACATTTCATAAATGCAGATATTTTGATATAGGCATAAAACAGCCCACCATGCACACAGCATCATACATGACAAAACAGTACACTAAAGGCTGCATTAGCTGGGTATGGTGGTGTGCCTGTAGTCCCAGCTCCTTGGGAGGCTGAGGCAGGGTGATCACTTGGGCCAAGGAGTTAGAGGCTACAGTGAGCTATGATTGTGCCTGTGAACAGTCACCCCACTTCAGCCTGGACAACACAGTGAGACCCCATCTCTTAATGAAAAAAAGCTGCATTAAAGTAGAAATGGTCAAATAAAATAGCAAAATCCAGATGCAACAGAAGTTCCCCTTGGGCTAGGCAAAGACCCATAGATAGGCCTAAATTAAAAGGCACAATTCCAACACCCATAGAAGAACAAGAAGGAAACAATTAGCACAATTTCCAAAACACTAACATTGACTAAACCACCAGAATACTGTAATGCATACATTTACTATCCAACTTAAAACAAAAATTCATCTGTTTATGGACTAAATGTCTGTGTCCTCCCAAGATCCATATGTTGAAGCCCTAATTCCCTAGTGGTTGTATTTGGGGACTGGGCATCTGAGGAAGCAATTAAGGTTAAATAAGGACATAAGTATGGGGCCCTGGTCCAGTGGGGTTAGTGCCTTGATAAGTAGAGACACCAGGAAGCTGGCGTGCCCTGCTACCCTCAATGGCTTACAAAGAGGAGGTCATGTAAGAACACAGCAAGATGGCACACAGCAAGATGGCCACCACCTACAAGCCAACAGAAGAGATCTCAGGATGAAATCTAACTTGCCAACACCTTGATCTTGGCCTTCTCAGCCTCTAGAACTGCAAGAATCCAATTTCTGTTGTTTCAACCACACAATCTGTGGTATTTTATTATGGTAGCCTGAGAAGACTAATATACCATCTAGTGATTTTTAAGTCCACCAAGGGTGAAACTAAGTCCTAAAGTTTGAGCAAAGACAGAGAAACTTGTCAAGATTTCACATCTCTTGCTCTTTGTGGAAAGGGGAGTTCTTTGAAGTTAATACTCAGAATGGGTACCATGACTGAAGAGCTATGGCACTGGAAAATCAGACTTCAGGACATTAATAGACTGCTGATCTTAAAGTGAGGTGAAATGAACCAAGACACTGGATGCAGAAAACCCGGGCTCAAATCCTGACTTTACCCCTCACCCAACCGTGTGACTTTGGGCAAGTCAATCAACCTCTAATGCTTCATCTGTGAAATGGAGTTACTCCCCCGCTATCCCGGCCCTGCCTCATTCCCTCTGCGCAAAAGTCCTGCAACGTGAATAAAGAAACACAGACTACAGCTTCAATCAATTTTAGTTCTTTCTACTCTTCCCACCCATATTAAACTGCTTCCAAAAGTAGAATAATACTGTGTGTGTGCGCACGTGTGTGTGTGTGTGTGTGTATGGTGTGTGTGTATATATAACAAGTTATTGGCTCTTTATTTCATACACACACAATTCAACAAATATGTAATGAACTCCTGCCAAAGGCTCAGCACTGTTCTAGAGTATGTGGGAGATACAAGGACAGGCTGAACCCTCCAGCCTAGAAAGAGCGCTGACATGCACAAACTGACAACTAAAATGAGAGGCACGCTGAAACAGACACCAGAAGAGAGGACAAAGCACCTTGAGCATGAAGAAGAGGGAAGAGGTTCACTTGCATTCTTCATGAACAAGAGGACATTTGAGCTAGATCTTTAAGAATGTATAGGATATGAATGGAGAGAGTTGAAGAAGATCATCAGATAAATAATTGATAAGAGAAGGCCTGGACTCTGAGTGGGGACAATGTTATTGGAAAGGAGGAAGTATACACCAAAGACTGTTTCTTTCTTTTTTGAGAGACAGAGTCTAGCTCTGTCGCCCAGGCTGGAGTAGAGTGGCGTGATCTCGGCTCACTGCAACCTCCGCCTCCTGGGTTCAAACAATACTCCTGCTTCAGCTTCCCAAGTAGCTAGGATTACAGGCACCCATCACCACACTCAGCTGATTTTTGTACTTTTAGAAAAGATGGGGTTTCACTCTATGTTGGCCAGGCTGATCTCAAACTCCTGACCTCAGGTGATCAGCCTGCCTCAGCCTCCCAGTGTTGGGATTAGGATTACAGGTGTGAGCCACCACACCCAGCCAAAGACTGTTTCAAAGGAAGAAATGAGCAGGATGTATATGTGTCCACAGTAGGGTAGGGGATCAACAGAAAGCAGAGGCAGGTAGGATATATGAGGATTAACCAAACACCTACTTTGTGCAGGCATCAGAGAGAATGGTATTCCTTAAGATCAAGGAGATCACAGACCTATGAGGACATCAGAGTCCCATGAAGACATAATGCACATGTATTGTGGGATAGGCTGGTGACGAGACAGTGTGATAAGCACAGTGACAGAGATGAGCCTAGGGACATACTCCAAAACTGGGGGGATCTAGAACAGGAACCTTAACTCCTACTTGAATAGACTGAAATTAGATTAGCTTGAGGACAAAGCAGGGCCACAACTCGGGAGGTAAAGACTTAACATATTCAGAAGTGGTGGGTGAACTGAAGGACACGTGGCAGCCCTCCCTACAAGCAAGGCCTGGAAAGTAATGGGCAATCCGTTTGCTCTAAAGAAAGGCTGTCTCCTACCCTAGTATCTTGCCTGTCTCCTGACTCAACATCTCAAAAATAACCTTTGTTTTAAACTACAAAGGACCTTGGCCAGGTGTGGTGATCACCATCTGTAATCACAGAACTTTGGGCCTAAGGCAGGAGGATTGCTTGAGCCCAGGGGTTCAAGACCAGCCTAGGCAACAATGGGAGAACTCCATTGCTATAAAAATTAAAATTAAAAGTACTAGCCAGGCAAGGTGGCATGTGCCTATAGCCCCAGCTACTAGGGTGGCTAAGACAGGAGAATCCCTTGAGCCCAGGAGGTTGAGGTTGCAGTGAGATATGATCATGCCACTGCATGCCAGCCAGGGTGACAGAGCAAGACCCTGTCTCCAAGAAAAAAAAGGTAGTATAATATAGAGGTTAAGGACATGGGCTTGGACCCATGGCCTCAAAGCCCAACCCTACCACTGCTTCTGAGAGTGGAGCTTTAGAAAAAGAAAAAATATAAATAAATTTAAAGAAGGACCTCAATCTAATCCTCTTACTTTACAGTTGAGGAAACTGAGGCTCAGAGCAAAACAGGGCTTCCCAAGGCCCTAGTAACAGAGAAGAGTCTGAAATCAAGGCTTCATCATTTGCTTTCCAACCCCTCTCCCACTTCAGAACCCCCTCACCATCAAGATGCCCTTTTTGCTAGGTACTCTCAAGCCTCCCCGACTGTACCATTTGAAAACTCCAGGGCACTGCTCTCAACTCTGTCATTCATTTTGTGACATTTGTCTTGGCACGTCTTCTTTACTTGCTGTCAATTCCTCGTCTCTAAATTATAAAGCTCAAGGGGGTATTCTCTAAAGTCCTATCCAGTACTGGTCATCCATGTTAGCACTGCCATTAAAATGGTTTTTCTGCAATCTAATTTCCACAGTTCACTGCCAAAGACACATAGTTGGTATTTTCTGATTATTTATGAGACTGGTGGAGCTACTGGCCAATGAAAGAGAGCATTACAGCAGAATGAAGTGATCTCAGCACTTTAGATGACCTTGTTATTTTGCTTAAGGCCTTTAAACAGGTTTAACTGTGCAAGTTAAGCAGTTCCAGGTGAAATGGCAAAAGCAGGTGATCTGATCTGTTCACTATGGCTCCTTGAAGAGTGCCTGGTGTACATCAAGCACTCAATAAATATTTGTGGAATTACCTGCCATAACCAACCTGCTTGCCATTTGCATTTTTTAACTGATTATTGCTAGATGTTTTATTATTTTAAATTTCTCCTCTTACAAAGGATTTATCATAATATAATCGTTTCCTTCTTGCAAACATCATTACAGTTCAAAGAAGGTAGAAATGGCAATGTTTTAAGAGCCTCACAACCACTATGATGCCTTCAGGATTTCATTTTATCCAGAGGTGAGAGTAATTGGACAGTACTCTTACCTGCCTGCACATGTACATACCTGTGTGCCCAGGATGGCCACTCACCCAAGCTCTCTCTGCCTCTCTACCTTCTTTCTTTCCTTTTCGAGAGCTTTCCAGTCAAGCCTAGCACCGAACTTGCTTTCTCTAATGCATTCCCTCTCTACCACTTTTCCACCCACTCCAGGCAGCCATGTAACTTGGAAGTGTTTATTTTCATCATCTGCGCCTGAGTGTGACTGTGTGCATGCAGAACCAGCCTTGTGTTGAAAGCCAGGTCTCCCCCACTTTCCCATCCTCACAGTCCCCTCTATAAACCAGATGAGAGTTCTTAAAGTCCTAACCCCGTCCTTCCCCTTCCCCACACTCCATCTTAAACCATCCCCACCCACGGCTTCCCTGAAATGCCTTTGGAATCATTATTAAGGTATCTTCCACAGAAAGCAGTGTTGAAAAACAGAAGGTCCCCTTCTGTAGGTGTTCCCACTCCAGCCTCCTTCTCGTCTACTGAATACACTCTCCTCCACTCCCACCACCTCAGCTACAACCATCGGCTCTCAAATCTTCTCTAGGACAAGGGTACCAAGTATTTACCTCTTGCAGCACTCAGAATTACTCTGCACTGAGATCTATCCATATCCTGAAGGCTCTCCCTATCTGACGGTGAGCTCCGAGGCATGGAACTACATTTTATATCTATCTTCAGCACATAGTAGATTCACAGTAAGTGTTTGTTTTAAAAAAAAAGTTGGGAGTGGGGACGCAGGCACAGTGGCTCACACCTGTAATCCCAGCACTTTGGAAGGCAGTGGGGGAGTACTGCTTGATGCCAGAAGTTTGAGACCAGCCTGGGCAACACAGTGATACTCCATCTCTAAAAATAAAAATTAAAAAATTAGCCAGGCATGAGCATCTGTAATCCCAGCTACTTGGGAGGCTGAAGTGGGAGGACCACCTGAGCCCAGGAATCTGAGGTTGCAGTGAACAATGATTGCACCACTGCACTCCAACCTAGGTGAAAGAGTAAAACGCTGTCTCTTTAAAAAAAAAAAAAAAAAAAGGCTAGGCATGGTGGCTCACGCCTGTAATCCCAGCACTTTGGGAGGCCGAGGTGGGAGGAGCACCTGAGGTCGGGAGTTCGAGACCAGCCTGACCAACATGGAAAAACCCCGTCTCTACTAAAAATACAAAATTAGCCAGGTATCATGGTGCATGCCTGTAATCCCAGCTATTCAGGAGGCTGAGGCAGGAGAATTGCTTGAACCCGGGAGGTGGAAGTTGCGGTGAGCCGAGATTGCGCCGTTGCACTCCAGCCTGGGCAACAAGAGCAAAACTCCATCTCAAAAACAAAAAAAAAAAGAAAAAAAGAAAAAGAATAAAGTGGCAGTGATGGAAGAACCTCTCTTCCAAGCCTCAACCTCTCTCCTTAGCATCAAACACATTTCCAATTATCTATCAGCCACCTCTGTGCCCCACTATGGGTACCTCAGAAAACTCCAACTCTCCATAGCCAAAACCAAACTAATTATTCCCCATACACCAAAATCTCCTGATTTCTGATGATGTCAGCCACATCAACTTGGCTTCCCAAAGCAGAAATGTAATCTTCAATCACATGCAACTAATTAACAAGACCTATGGTACATTTTACCCAAACATCTGTTCCCTCCTCTCCCATTCTCACTGCCCATGTCTGTGGACAGAGCTAATCTCTAAAATGGTCTCCCAAACTTCCATACCCTCTTCCACACAACTACAGGGATCTTCCTAAAACACAGTGATCAAGCCACAGGCCTCCTTGTAAACCTCAGACGTCTCTCCCACTGCCTAAACGATAAAAGTCCCAACTCTTCACATGGCATTCATGGCCTTTCCGGATCTGGTCCTGATTATAGCACCCCCACCAGCCCCTCATTCTCTCCATGTATTTTCAACCTAACCAGACCAAACTCAACACGCGGCTTCCTTTGGCTGGAATCCTTTACCCCAAGGCCACCAAGGGCCCATTTTCAATCTCTCTTTTTTTTTTTTTTTTTTGACACAGAGTCTCACTCCCAAAGTGCTGGCATTACAAGCGTGAGCCACCGCGCCCGGCCCATTTTCAATCTTCAAAGCCCAACTCTCATGCAATTTTTGTTAAGCCTTCCTCAATTAATACCCAGTCTGTTATGTTTATTTTCTTTATAACGGCTTCCTTCTAAAATGGGTTTGAAGCAGCTTACAAATTACACACACACTGCAACTAGATTTTTTTTTTTTTTTTTTTGAGAGAGAGAGGAGAGACTAGCAGGGCAAAGATAAGACAAAGGTAAAAGAGATCAAAGTTAGGTGGTAAAGGAGCATTCAAAACCTGTGTCATAGCTGGGCACGGTGGCTCACGCCTATAATCCCAATACCTTGGGAGGCCAAGGTGGGCAGATCACCTGAGGTCAGGAGTTTGAGACCAGCCTGGCCAACATGGTGAAACCCCACCTCTACTAAAACTACAAAAATTAGCTGGGCGTGGTGGTAGGTGCCTGTAATCTCAGCTACTTGGGAGGCTGAGACAAGAGAATCGCTTGAACCCAAGAGGTGGAGACTGCAGTGAGCCGAGATCATGCCACTGCACTCCAGCCTGGGCAACAGAGCGAGACTGTCCCCCCCCAAAAAAAAAACAAAAACAAAAAACAAAAACCTGTGTCATAAGGTCTCATACTCACCTTGTTAGATATAGATTGGCCCTGAGTTCCCACTGGCTCAGAATGAGTTACTCTTCTATGAGCTCACTGACAGTTGTACATGACTGTACTGTAGCACTTCCCATATTTTTTGCAATTTGCTCTTTGCGTCCATCTCCCACACTGGACTGGGAAATTCCTAGGGGAATACATAATTTCTGACTCATCGCTGTATCCCCAGGATGTAACATATGACTCAGCACATGACTGGTGCTCAGCAGACATTTGTTGAATGAATGTTATCACGGACAGGGAATACGGTACTAGTGCTTGTTGAACTGCACGCCAGATATGTGAAAAAACATTATTTTATCCTCACAAAAAATGTACAAAGCTAAGAAATGGCAGAGCTAGGATTCAAACCCCAAACTGTCTATCTCTCCAAAGCAATTGCTCTTCCAAGTATGCATGATGTTCCCTACCTTCACCATCGCTACGTACCCACCTACTCTCTGCTTCAATGCCTGGTTAAAAACAAAATAAACCACCCTTCTCCCAGACGTCTTTCCTACTCACTCAGGACAGGAGTGCCTGAGTCCAGCCCTTGATCTTCCACAATACGTTAACAAATCATCACCAACTGGGAGAGGAAAGGGTGCCCCCTTGGTAGCTGAGAACTGAACAGCCTGTTGGGTATTCTGCAGATGGTGGGGTGAAGTCCTCAGCTCCTTCTTCTCCTGCCTTTCCCCACAGGTGCAGTGCCTGGGCCCTTCCTGCCTCTCTTCCTTCTTCAGGATCCAAAGCCTTTTTAGTTCTCCCCATTCTAAACCCAAAATAATCTCCTCAGGCCCATTACTTCTCTAACCCAGTGAATGGTGTTGAAAATGCACTCTTCCATTATATCAGTGAGACCTTTGTATTTTAAGCATCTCATCAACCATTAGGGCTGGCAAGCATCCCCATGCCCTGAAACACAAGAATTTTGTGAGAAGGGATAATGGCATTTTAGGAGGCCCAATCACCTGACCCTCCATCAATCTGAATATTTTTGGCGGCCTGGGAGTAAAAAGAGACAACCTATAACATCCCTCCCCACCCCCTGCCCCAGCAGCCTTTGTCCCCTAGCCCGGGTCTCTACGGGAGGGATGAAATCTGGCCCAGCAATGCTGCAGGGGAGGGATGGTGAACCCTGGTGCCTTCCTCTACATCTTCCTCCAGGACTTCAGAATCCTTCTTCTCCCCCTTGTCCATCCCATGTCTCTCTCTGGCCCTGGACTCCCACAGCCATCCTCAATCCTAACTCAGAAACTATGTTTTTTAATTAATATTCAGCAATTTCCTTGGAATACAATCATCTGCTCTGACATGCTGAAAGGCACACTCTCTGGCCCTGATATTATCCTACCTCCAGTTTTAAATGTATGACAAATATATCCCTGCATCCTATAACTACTCTCCTCGATACTGCAGGAACGTCTGTAATGTTAAATGTTATCACGCCTAAGAAATACCCAACCTCCTGAATCGGAATAGGGAGACTAAATTCTTCACTGTTTCGTACTCCTAAATAAAGATTATTCATGCAATTTACAGTAACTACCTCACAGCGCCAGGGTGATGATTCAATGATAATTCATGCCAACTGTTTAGTACCTAGGGCCTGGTACATACAGAGTGCTCAAAATTTAGCTGTTATCATTTACATACATTATCTTTCACAATAGTACCTGAGGGTAGATATTATACCACGCCCCCCCGACCCCCGCCTCTAATTTACAGAAACAGTAGCCCCGGCTCGGAGTAAAGGAGCTTTCCCAAGGTCAGTCAAGCAAGGATGTGATGCTCGGCCTTCATCCTGCAAGTGAGGGATCCCTCCCGTTACACTCTGGACGGGCGGGGCACTGGAGGTCTTAAAGGAGACAAGTATGGAAAAGCGCCGAGCACAGTGATCAGCACACAGTGGGGACGCCGGGATGGGAAGACCGCGGTACTGCAGGTCACCTGGATTCCCCCCGAGCAGCTCCCCGAGCCCGGGAGTCCAAAGCCCACCCCGCTCCCAGCCGTGGGCGCGCCACTGAGTACCCCAGAGGCCCGCGCCCCGGGGCTTTGTAGGCAGCAGGCCGGCCCTACTCACCGAGTCCCATCGCGGCGCGCAGAGGCGGCCGCCCGGCGCCCAGCCTGCAAGGCCGGGGTCGCAGCGGCTCGGCCCGAAAACCCTCCATGCCGGCCCCCGGCCCCCTCTACGCCCGGCCCGCGCCCCCCACCCCCGCCCCCGCCCGGCTGCGGCCCGCCCGGAAGGGGAGCCTCCTACCTGCAGCGGCGGCGCGGCAGCCGCGGCGACCGGGGGAGGGGCCGGCGAGGCGCGAGGGCGGGCGGCCTGGGCTCCTCTCGCAAGCAGGGCGGCCGGGAGGGCCGCGGGCTCCCGAACGCCGGGCGGCGGCGGCGGCGGCGGCGCGCCCCCGG
Organism: Homo sapiens; assembly: GCF_000001405.40. Classification (NCBI taxonomy): domain Eukaryota; kingdom Metazoa; phylum Chordata; class Mammalia; order Primates; family Hominidae; genus Homo; species Homo sapiens. The sequence goes on along the minus strand of NC_000009.12, from coordinate 100,427,241 downwards.
CCGGCCAGGCCCCGCCGCGCGCGCCGCGGCCACAAAGCCCGGACGCCGCCGCCCCCTCGCGGACCGCCCGCCGCCTGCCGGTCCGTCGGCGCCGCCGAGGAGGGCGGGAGCGCGGCCCCGCGCCAGTCCCCACTTCCCCGAGCTGCGGCCGCCGGCCTCCAGGGGACTGGGGCGGGGCGCGGGGTGCCCCCCCGCCCACCTGCCCGTCCGCACCGACCCCGCTCCTGACATCCTCGGGCTGACGTCCTCGTGCTGATTTAGTTGCCTTTTTTCCCCACCTTTGCAGAGGAGCTCCTGAAGCGGCCCGAAAAACTGTTTTATTTCTATGAACAACAAAAGAATACATTTGTCACACGGGATTTGGCGGCCATGAACACGAGTTAGTTCAGTCCAGGTCCCCCGACTGAAATAGGCCCTTTTCTTTTAGGACTCCTTGATACTTGGGACAGCGAATCCCCCTATGCTGAGTTTATCAGAACTTCTGTTAATTTGTGGAACGTGCCTCCCCCAGGAGAGCGACTGTGCTCACTGGAGCCCAGGACCTGTCTCGGACACTGTGCTGACTCATTTGGAATTAATGCGTGTGTAAATGCATGCACAACAGCTCAAACTGTCGGGACAAGCCACCCTTTGCTCCTCCCGCAAACAGAGTGGCTGGATGTTTCTTTTGCCCTGGATCCATTGGGAAGACTCCAACCCCAGAGAAAGGCAGAGAAGGCTTTTTAACTTTTTTTTTTTTTGAGGTGAAATTCGCATAACATAAACCACTTAAAAGCGAACGATTTGGTGGCATTTATTACATTCATAATGTTGAGCAACCACTTCTATCTAGTTCTGAAACATCCATACTCCATTAAGCAGTAATTCCCCAGTCCCTCCTTCCTCCAGACCCTGGCAACGACTCAGCTATTTTCTATCTCTGTGAGTTTACTTTTTTCTGGGTATTTCATATAAATGCAACCATACAATATGCGGCCTTTTGTGTCGTTTCTTTGACTTAGCCTGTATTTAAGATTCATCCATGTTGAGGCGTGGATCAGTACTTCATTCCTTTTTATGGCTGATTAATATCCCATTGTATGTGTATATTATAATTTGTTTATTCATTCATCCCTTGATAGATATTTGGGTTACTTCCACCTTTTGGCTATTGTGAATAGTGCTGCTCTGAACATGCCTGTACACATATTTGAGTACCTGTTCCCAGTTCTTTTGGATACATACCTAGGAGTGGACTTTCTGGGTCATAGGGTAATTCTATGTTTAACTTTTCCAGGAACTGCCAAAAAGTTTTCCACAGCAGCTGAATGAATCATTTTACATTCCCATCACCAATGTTTGAGGGTTCCAAGTTTCCACAACCTTGTCAACACTTGCAATTTTCCGTTTTTGTGTTTTAATTCCTTGAACATTTTTGAGACTATTGCTTGCCCTCCCAACTCCCACTATCCATAGCCCTAAAGTAAAAACTGATCTAGGTTTTCACTATGTACAAAGAATCACGCAACCCTTTCTTTCTTCCCTCAAAAAACAATCCAGGGCAGAAGCACCAATAAAAATAAAGACCCTAAACTAAGAGCTATACTGGTCCTCATTCTTTTTCTTTTCTTTTTTTTTTTTTTTTTTTGAGACAGAGTCTGCTGGAGTGCAATGGTGCAATCTTGGCTCACTGCAACCTCCGCTTCCCGGGTTCAAGCAATTCTCCTGCCTCAGCCTCCCAAGTAGCTGGGACTATAGGCATGTGCCACCACTCCTGGATAATTTTTGTAATTTTAGTAGAGACAGGATTTCGCCATGTTGGCCAGGCTGGTCTCGAACTCCTGACCTCAAGTGATCTGCCCACCTCAGTCTCCCAAAGTGCTGGGATTACAGGCATCTCATTCATTATTTTAACAATAATTTGTCTGATGTCCAGGAGGCCTTGAAATTGTCCAGAGAGCCTGGAAACTAAAATTATACCAGGGGAGTTGCTACAATGTGCTAGCAAACAAGCTATGATACCACACCGAAAGCCAAGGCTGTACATCATTTACACTTGTTTTCCACTTAGTGCCATATTATAAGTCCATGAAGATTCCCTTCTTACATGCAGATACGGTCAAGGGAAAACTATTGGGGTGTGACATTGGAAGGTCAATTCAGATTGGAAATTTGATTGATAAAGTGATACAGTGTGGAAAAAGCACTAGATAAACGTGAACTAAGTTAAGCTCCTGAATCTCAGTTTTCTCATTTCATTTTTTTTTTTTTTTTTGAGACGGAGTCTCGCTTTGTCACCCAGGCTGGAGTGCAGTGGTGGCGCAATCTCGGCTCACTGCAAGCTCCACCTCCCGGGTTCACGCCATTCTCCTGCCTCAGCCTCCCGAGTAGCTGGGACTACAGGCGCCTGCCACCACGCCTGGCTAATTTTTTTTGTATTTTTAGTAGAGACGGGGTTTCACCATGTTAGCCAGTATGGTCTCGATCTCCTGACCTCGTGATCCGCCCGCCTCTGCCTCCCAAAGTGCTGGGATTACAGGCATGAGCCACCATGCCCGGCCAGTTTTCTCATTTCTAAGATGGGAATATGATGCCTACCTGGCTGGGTAGATAAAAGCTTCTAGTCTTAACTTCAGCAAATGATCAGTGTTATTTTATTGATTTAAATAATGAAGATTGTGGCTCATGCCTGTAATCCCAGCACTTTGGGAGGCTGGAGCATGTGGATCGCTTGAGCCCAGGAGTTCAAGACCAGCCTGGGCAACGTGGCAAAACCCCATCTCTACCAAAAATACAAAAATTAGCCAGTCTCATAACCTGGTCTCAAAATAAATAAACAGATAAAATTTTAAAAATAAAAAAATTAATGCTGTAATAAATAAATAAATAATGGTGATTGACATGAGCCACATGTAGGTGTACTGCTAAGGAGACATGGGAAACTCAAATTTAGTCATGTGTCTCTCCTCAAACAAAGAGAGCAGACTATCTTAAAAACTAATGGGGCAGGGTAACTACTCAGGCCTGCAATATGGTGGCTGCCTTCCCAGCTCTCTCCTTGATCCCTGACTTAGTTCTGCATGCTACCTTGGACAACTGACTTCTTTTTCTTTTTTTTTTTTTTTTTTTTACTTTGGATCACTTACATCAAATTAAATAGGTTTCTTGAAAACACAGAGAAAACACTCAATAAATGTGAGCTATTTTATCAATAATAAAGCTATTACAGTTTCTTTGTAGAAAGTGTTAACAGAAGGGCAGCGTCTACACAGAGTCTAGGAAAAGAAAACCATAAAGAACTCATCCATGTGACTTGTCCCTTTTTCAAATGCTGGAGGGTCCCTTCAGGAGATCCATTCCTGTGATGGAGATGAGTGATGCATTGCGCTCCACAGGTTGCTGAGAATAGCTATACATATTGTATCTTTTTTGCTAGGATCCAGGCTCACCAAGCAGTCTTGATATAGTAGTTGATTTCAACGACATCTTTTTTTTTTTTCCTTTTTTATTCCTTTTAGAGACAGGGTCTTGCTCTGTCACCCAGGCCAGAGTGCAGGTTATGATCATAGCTCACTGCAGCCTCAAATTCCTGGGCTCAAGCGATCCTCCCACCTCAGCCTCCCTAGTAGCTGACACTACAGGAGCATACCACCATGCCCAACTCATTTTTTAAATTTTTATTTTTGTAGAAAGGGGGTTTTTCTTTGTTGTCCAGGCTGGTCTTGAACTTCTAAGCTTCAAGCAATCCTCCTACCTCAGGCTTTCAAAGTGCTGAAATTACAGGCATGAGCCACTGCACCCAGCCTGGTTTCAACAAAATTTTCTTTTCTTTTCTTTCTTTTTTTTTTTTTCTCGAGACGGATCTTGCTCTGTCGCCCAGGCTGGAGTGCAGTGGCATGATCTCAGCTCACTGCAACCTCCGCCTCCTGGTTTCAAGCGATTCTCCTGCCTCAGCCTCCAGAGTAGCTGGGATTATAGGCGCACGCCACCACACCCAGCTAATTTTTTGTATTTTTAGTACAGACGGGGTTTCACCATGTTGGCCAGGCTGGTCTCAAACTCCTGACCTCATGATCCACCCGCCTCGGCTTCCCAAAGTGCTGGGATTACAGCCGTGAGCCAATGCATCTGGCAGGACAAAATTTTCTTAAATGAGGGAAAATGCCCTGAACATCCAACTCTCAACACTCTAGAATTCTGCGATGAAAGTACAGCTGTCTTTGAAAATTAATCAATTGGTGTTTAGCTTATCCATCTGTCTGTTATGATTTTAACTGGCAAATCCAGTCTCCCCAAAGTCTAATTATATATGGATATTAGAGGCTCTTTTCATCTCAGGCTCTTTTGGTGGCAAGGAACAGAGACTCATCCAAACTTGCTACAGGAGAAGGCTGTTTATTGAATCTTAGGTGTTGAAAGATAGGAACCCAAATTGAGAAGGACTTCAAGGAACTTAAAAGCCACTGGGGGCCTCGTGCAGTGGCTCATGCCTGTAATCCTCACATTTTGGGAGGCGGAGGCAGGTGGATCTCTTGAGCCCAGGAGTTTGAGACCAGACTGGGCAACGTAACAAAATCCCGTCTTTACAAAAAATACAAAAATTAGCCAGGTGTGGTGGGAGGCTGAGGTGGGAGAATCATCTGAGCTCAGGGAGGTGGTGACTGCATTGAGCTGTGATTGTGCCACAGTACTTTAGCCTGGGCCACAGAAAGAGGCCCTTTTTCAAAAAGAAAAAGAAAAAAAAAGCCACTGGGAACCGATTTTCCTCTGTCTCTCATTTGAAATTAGTGTGTCTTTCTATGTCTCTGCCTCTCCAACTTTCTTTTTCTCTCAGTATTTTTTTTTTTTTAGACGGAGTCTGGCTCTTTTGCCCAGGCTGGAGTGCAGTGGCGCGGTCTTGGCTCACTGCAACCGCCGCCTCCTGGGTTCCAGCCATTCTCCTGCCTTAGCCTCCCAAGTAGCTGGGACTATAGGCAAGTGCCACCATACCCAGATAATTTTTGTATTTTTAGTAGAGACGGGATTTCTCCACGTTGATCAGGCTGGTCTCAAACTCCTGACCTCAGGTGATCCACCTGCCTTGGCCTCCCAAAGTGCTGGGATTACAGGCGTGAGCCACCACGCCCAGCTGTCTCTCAGTCTTTCTGTATGGTTACACCACTCTCCCTCTGTTTACTGATGCTGTGCTTGGTCATCATAGACACCACAGCCCAAGGTCAACAAGGAAACCTCCTCCTTGTCTCTTGGTTCATATTTACCCAGACAAAACCTATGGGCTCAATCCATTGTTTCAAGCCAGGACACAAGACGGCAATCTATGAATTGACTAGTTTCGGATTAGAAGTCCACTTCCGATCCAATCAGCTGTTATGAGATGGAGGGGCAGTATCACCCGGGACAAAAATAGCCACCTGGCACAAGCAAGGGCTGTAAGTGAGGGTATTCACCAGAAGTTGGCATGGGTAGGTAGCTACACTGAAATCATTCTATTAATATGACCATATTTTCTGAGCCAAAAATTAGGATAAATAGTATAAAATGTATTTGGGATCCACTCTCTGATGGTAGAGGCAGTCTGGATGATGCAGTTCAGGTGCTAAAATATTGCAACTTCTCAAGTATTTTGATAGCTAATGAGAATAATGAAACAAGATCTTTGAAATTGAGACTTTCCTGGAAAATTTGTCACTATAAAATAGTAGGTGACCTGCCAGGTGCAGTGGCTTATGCCTGTAATCCCAGCACTTTGGGAGGCCAAGGTGGGTGGATCATTTGAGGTCAGGAGTTCAAGACCAGAGTGGCAAACATGGTGAAGCCTTGTCTCTACTAAAAATACAAAAATTAGCCGGGCATGGTACTGCGTGTCTGTAGTCCCACATACTCAGGAGGCTGAGGCAGGAGAATTGCTTGAACCCAGGAGGCAGAGGTTGCAGTGAGTCAAGATCACGTCACTGCACTCCAGCTGGGCTACAGAGCAAGACTGTGTCTCAAAAAAAAAAAAAAAAAAGTAAGTGATCTTATAAAGCAGAGTACCTACATCACAGAATTGTTGAGAGGATTAAATGAATTTTATATGTAAATCAATTTGATGGTTTCTATATAAATATTAACTATTATCATCACATATTGAAGAACTGGATAATCTTTTTTGTTTTTTTGTTTTTCTTTTTTTTTGAGACGGAGTCTTGCTCTGTCGCCCAGGCTGGAGTGCAGTGGTGCCATCTCGGCTCACTGCAAGCTCCTCCTCCCGGGTTCACGCCATTCTCCTGCCTCAGCCTCCCAAGTAGCTGGGACTACAGGCACCCGCCACCACGCCCGGCTAATTTTTTGTATTTTTAGTAGAGCTGGGGTTTCACCGTGTTAGCCAGGATGGTCTCGATCTTCTGACCTTGTGATCCACCTGCCTCGGCCTCCCAAAGTGCTGGGATTACAGGTGTGAGCCACTGCGCCCGGTGAACTGGATAATCTTTGATCTGTGCTGACTCCACCAAGGTACAGTTATCCTGTTAGGTAATCTCTGACTGCCAGTCTGCCTCTTTGCAGATTTCTCGTAAATGCAACATCAAACAACAGCCAAGCAGAAGGATAGCTTTTAGGAAGCTTCAAGAAATAGCAGTGATGCCCTTTATGATCTTACCAATGCACACATAAAGTTGATTTTCTATCTCAACATCCCCTTCCATAAAATGGAAACTGTTCTTCAGATTGCCAGATATATTCAAATATCTTTTATAATAAATGGGTATTGAGAGAAATAGAAATACCTCAACCTGCAGAATCCAGCTGTCCAGGGAGCAAATGAGGGGAGGAGCTTGGAGCGCTGAATAAGAGGCTACAGGTAGAACTGTTGAGAAGCCCAAAAGCCAGAGTTGAAAAGCAACCTAGAAAAGTGGCGGGTCAGGAAGTCGTGGGGGACAGAGTCAGAAAGAAATCCAGGCTGCATGAAAATTCCAGGACTCGTGCATTTCAAATGTCTACACCCCATCTTTTCCTGAGGCCCACTTTGTTGATTTTAAAATGGCTAGACTTGCAAGGTACTGGCCACTGGACTTGCTGGTGCCACAACAATTTGATGTTGAGGTAGTTTTGGTGAACATATTACAAGCCCATAATACATGGATTTTGAAATTTTTGTTTGTTTTTCTTTTTTCTTTCTTTCTTTCTTTTTTTTTTTTTTTTTTTTTTTTTTGAGATAGAGTCTTGCTCTGTCACCAGGCTAGAGTGCAGTGGTGTGATCTTGGCTCACTGCAACCTCCACCTCCCGCGTTCAAGAGATTCTCCTGCCTCAGCCTCCCAAGTAGCTGGGATTACAGGCACGTGCCACCATGCCCAGCAAATTTTTGTATTTGTAGTAGAGATGGGGTTTCACCATCTTAGCCAGGCTGGTCTCAAACTCCTAACCTTGTGATCCACCTGCCTCAGCCTCCCAAAGTGCTGGGATTACAGACGTGAGCCACTGCGCTCGGCCTCTGAAGCTTTTACTACTTGTTTTTGGAGTACTTGATTACTCTAAATAATTGATACCTAGGTGTATAGTTACTTATTGCTATACGGCAAATTACTCTAATATTTAGAGGCTTAAATCAACCATCATTTATTATCTCACAGTCTCTGAAGATCAGGAAGTAGCTTAACCAAACAGTTCTGCCTTGAGGTCTCTCCTAAGGTAGTCAGCAATATGTCACCTGGGGGAAGAGTCATTTGAAGTCTTGCCTGGGGTTGGAGAATAGACTTCCAAGGTGGCTCATACACACACACAGTTGTCAAGTTAGTGCTGGTTTTTGGTAAGAGGGCTCAGTTGCTCTCCATCTATGTCTGTTGCTGAATTAGAAACTTGAGTGAAAAGATGAGGGTAGTAGCGACTAATGTTGAAACAGCTGTTAGGGATTGAAAGCAAACTCTTTGTTTTTCAGATGTCAATCCTCTTTATGAGCTTCCCCATACACTGGTTGAATAACCTCACAAAAGGGTGACTGTCTTTCCCCATAGCAAAGTATTCATAGACATATTTTAAAACCTCCACACCAGACGCAGCAGCTTTGTACTACGTCAGGTTAGCTAAGCTAACTTGGTACTGTTTCCCAGAATTCTGTTCCTTGTATAGTTCTGGCTTAGCCATGGACCTAAGAGACATTCTGGGTTAGATTTGGAAGGTGGAGATTTGGAAGCTGGAGACATGTCTTTTACACTCTGAAGGTCTTCCTGGGCAATAGGCGGTGGGACATCATGTCATGATCACTGGCTAACCTTATGCCATGGGGCAGCACTGGGTCCTGCAGCTCCTTTAGCTTCCCTGAGTTCTGACCCACAATGAAAGCATGAGCATCAAGGTTAGAGTTGGTGAGAGACAGAGGCAGGGTCTAGTGTTCGTTGTGGGCCACAGTTTGTCCTCACAGGTTTTAGTTTGTCCTTGACCTTGTCCATATTCAGTTTCCTTCCCGTCTGTCAAACTGGCTGACCTACAGCGACTTCAGGCTCAGCATTAGACTCAGAGGCAACAGCAGCCTGCACAGACTGCCACCACTGCTGCTGCAAACCTATGTTACTTTCTATAAAGCTGCTTGAAATTGTTCTTTATTACTAGAGCCGGTCTGCCACTAAGAGGCTGTGAAACCTTGAGGAAGAGGATTGATGTCTGAAAAACAAAGAGTTTGGTTTTGATCCCTAACAGCTGTTTCAACATCAGTTGCTACCACCCTCATCTTTTCACTCAAATTTCTAATTCAGCCATTGTACTTCTCAGTGTCTTTTCTAGAAAAAGACTTGCCTGTGATTACCAACAGCCATGTTCATGGCAGCTTTGATTATGGACAATAAAGGAAGGCAGGAGGTAGGGAGAGAGAAAAGAGGGAGGGAGGGAGAGAGAGAAAGAAAGCAAGAAAGAGAGAGAGAGAAACATTGAAAAGAACTTAAAAGTTCATCAATAGGGAAATGCATCAATAAACTATGGTATTTCATAGGACTGATAAAGCATTGTATTGATGTGCATTTTTGTTTGATGATTTTTGGTTTGGTTTGGTTTTGGCAAGCCATTTTGACTCCACAGTTTTAAAACTGGTAAACATTTTAGACCTGGGCACATTCCCACACAAGGAAATTTTGGACTTTTATTTATTTATTTATTAGAGACAGGGTATCACTCTGTCACCCAGGCTGGAGTACAATGGCACATAGCATGATCATAGCTCACTGAAGCCTCAAACTCTTAGGCTTAAGCCTCTCGAGTAGCTGGGACTGCAGAAGAGTACTGCTGAGCTCAGCTAATTAAAAAAATTTTTTTTTTAGAGATGGGGTCTTGCTATGTTGCCCAGGCTCATATCAAACTCTTGGCCTCAAGCAATCCTCCTACCTTGGCCTCCCAATCTTCCTGCCTCGGCCTCTCAAAGTGCTGGTATTACTGGCATAAGCCGCCATGCCCAACAAACGAAGGACATTATAATTTAACCTATTGTTCTTAACTCTACCACAAAATGAGTAGTTAGTATGTATAGGCAAAGCTAAAAAAGCAAGACACCAATGGAAGATGACAAGATGATGTTACTCTTCTGTAGCATCTGAAAGGATTTGCTTACAGTGTTTTCATAAGTTAAGAATTAAATATAAACTGTCAGTATTGTGTCCAATTTATAATAAATATTTCTGTAGAAAGAATTAATATAAAATAAAATTGACAATGGCTAAAACTGCACATGGTAAACGTGCAATTTGATAAGTTGATTCTAAAATTTATCTCCAAGAGAAAATGTTCAAGAATAGTGAAGACATTTTGCAAAAGATTCAAGATGGCACTCATTCTATCAGATAGTATCCTACAAACTTATAGAAATTAAATTTGCCTGTCTCTAAACAGGATTAGACAATTAAACTCAAAGAATAAAATAGAACCCTGAAAAGACTCTTGGACATGTAGAAATATCATACATTTAGACCATAGAGGAAAAGATTGATTAGTCCACAAATGGAGTTGAGATAATTAATTACCTGTTTACAGAGAAATAACATTCCTACTCCGCATCACATAAAAAGAAAGATTCCAGATGCATTTTAAAGCTACATGTAAAAAACATTAGCTAGGTATTAAAATAAAATAGAGCACTTCTTTGTGTTATCAGAAAAGGAAATACAAAAAGCAGATCCTTGAATAATGTGTCTTTCAACATCGTTTTCTTCTAATTTTGATGAGAAAAAAATTGGTTTTCTATGTTGTTTTGCTTAAAGTTGCAGTTTACAAGAGCCTATTGACAATGTTAAGTGAGGACTTACTGTACTTTCTTATGTAAAATACTACAAGCAAAGTCATACAGAACAAGATTCATAAATATAACTATGTAAAAAATCATTTCTATACACATAGTGCCCAGATATTGATTTCTAATAGCATTCTCCAATAAAAGGGACCAGGATTCTTTGAAAAAATGGCTGATTCGAGAACTAGGGTAGGAAATATACAAGATAAGCATTGTGCATTTTTTAAAGTTAGAAAGTAAGGAAGAGCTGGCCGGACACGGTGGCTCACCCCTGTAATCCCAGCACTTTGGGAGGCCAAGGCGGGCGGATCACCTAAGGTCAGGAGTTTGAGACCAGCCTGGCCAACATGGTGAAACCCCATCTCTACTAAAAATACAAAAATTAGCCGGGCGTGGTGGCAGGCGCCTGTAATCCCAGCTACTTGGGAGGCTGAGGCAGGAGAATTGCTTGAACCCGGGAGGCAGAGGTTGCAGTGAGCTGAGATCACACCACTGCACTCCAGCCTGGGGGACAAGAGCGAGACTTCGTCTCAAAAAAACAAACAAGAAAAGAAAGTAAGGAAGAGCTAAAATATGTACACAATTTTGGAGATGTGTTGAAGGGACACAGGAATTAATTGAAGGTGATCCCAATGGCCAAAACTAGAACAATTTGAGCAACAAAAGAAAGTAGCATTGAATTTTTTTTTTTTTTTTTGAGACAGAGTTTCACTCTGGTTGCCCAGGCTGGAGTGCAGTGACGCAATTTCGGCTCACTGCCACCTCCGCCTTCCGGGTTCAAGCAATTGTCCTGCCTCAGCCTCCCAAGTAGCTGGTATTAAAGGCGCCTGCCACTACGCCCAGCTAATTTTTTTATTTTTAGCGGAGACGGAGTTTCACTGTGTTGGCCAAGCTAGTCTGCAACTCCTGACCTCATGATCCACCTGCCTCAGCCTCCCAAAGTGCTGGGATTACAAGCATGAGACACCATGCCTGGCTGAAGTAGCACTGAATTCTTAATGTAACTCAAAGTATACAATAAATAACCATGAGCCCATACTGTACAAATAAATGATGGAATAAACACATTAATTAAATTAATAGGGAAGAGTAGGCAACTCTTCTATGCAGAAGAATTCCAAATAATATGTGAAGATACTCCATCCTTAAGGTGGTGGAGCATAAATTCCCACCCCTTAAGTATGGATTGTGCAGTGACTGCCTTTCAAAGGGTACAGTATAGAAAAGGGGGAAAAAAGAAGAGTAACTTTACCATGGAGAAACCTGACAAACGCTATTTCAGCCAGATGAACAAGGTTAATATCACTAGTGACAAGTCATGTTAACAATCTGTACCCTTGAAATGGTATGATCAGAGTTACCTCTTCAGGTTTCCGCCCCCAAACCCAAACTCCAGTCCAATGATTAGAAAAACACCAAACAAATCCCAACTGAGGAACGTTCTACAAAATACCTAATTAGTACTCCTGAAAACATCAAGGCTATCAAAAACAATAAAAGTCTGAGAAATTTTCACAACCAAGAGGGGTATAGAAGACATGATGATTACATTTAATGTGCTATTTCGAATGGGACTGTCCAACAGAAAAAGGACATTAGGCAAAAATGAAGAAAATCTGAATAAAATATGGGCTTTAGTTAATAATAATGTATCAATATTTGTTCATTGATTGTGACAAAGATACCATTCTAATGTAAGATATTAACAATAGAGAAACTAGGTGTGGGATATATAGGAGTACTCTGTTCTATCTTCACAGTTTTTCTGTAAATCTAAAACTACACAAAAATAAAAAGTTGATTTTTAAAAATTGGCTTCTATGTTATAGACACCCTTAACAACACTAAAAGACAAAATCAAAACAATGATGTACTATTTTCAGATACCAGATTGACCAAAATGTAAAACTGTTTGGAAAAAATGGGTTCTTTCATGGAAGTGTAAATCGATAGGAGCTTTTTAAAGGGCAGTTGCTCTCAGAATGTTAAAATGTGTATTCCTAGGTATCTAGAGAACGACTACTTTCACATATGCAAAAAAGGGCATGCACAAGGGTTTCCTAAAGCATCATTAAACCTAACTTCTATCAAAAAGGAAATGATTAAATAAGCTATGGAATAGTCATATTTAGAACACCGTATTTCGGCCGGGCGCAGTGGCTCACGCCTGTAATCCCAGCATTTTGGGAGGCAGAGGCGGGCGGATCACGAGGTCAGGAGATCGAGACCATCCTGGCTAACACGGTGAAACCCTGTCTCTACTAAAAATACAAAAAATTAGCCGGGCGTAGTGGCGGGCGCCTGTAGTCCCAGCCACTCAGGAGGCTGAGAGAGGAGAATGGCGTGAACTCGGGAGGCGGAGCTTGCAGTGAGCCGAGATCGCGCCACTGCACTCCAGCCTGGGCCACAGAGCGAGACTCGGTCTCAAAAAAAAAAAAAAGAACACTGTATTTCATTAACTCGAGGATGTGACCCGCTATAGCCTTCGTTATTTCATACATCATTAAGAAAGAAAAATGATCCTAATTAAGCTATGACACAAAGCTTTCTTGCCATTTATAATTTTTATTTTATACTTATTGAAAAAGCTAATTAAGGCTTAAGACATCTTTAGTTCCATATTATCCTTATGCATAAATTAAAAGGATTCATGAAATAAATTGATTACCATATAGCTAAATCCTCTTCTCAGAGTCTGAACCTTCTGTATAATGTTTAGACTCAGAATCATCAATATGCCAGGCTGCTAACCTCCATTCTGCAAGTTTTGATGCATACCCAGCAGGCAATGACAACCACATCACTATTGCTGCCTTGCTAGCTGACAGCAACTGTAAGATGCATACCAATCTGAGAGATCATAAAATGTGAATAAAAAAGTGTGCCTTAGAAACAAGAGTATTTTGCAGCAGCTAAAGGAACTGAGGAATTCTAATTCATATTGCTAAGAAAAAATAGCAAGTTGCAAAAAATAATATGCAGTATAAGCACATTTATGGAAAAAAGCAAAATAAACCTCTATGTTTGTGGGACATTCCCTGAAAATTTGGCTACTCAAATTTTCTTCCTTTTTTTTTTTTTTTTTTTTTTTTTTTTTGATACAAAGCCTCTCTCTGTCTCCCAGGCTGGAGTGCAGTGGCGCGATGTCGGCTCACTGCAACCTCCGCCTCCCGGGTTCAAGCGATTCTCCTGCCTCAGCCGCCGGAGCAGCTGGGACCACAGGCTCGCACCACCATGCCCGGCTAATTTTTTTGTATTTTTAATGGAGATGGGGTTTCACTATATTGGCTAAGCTGGTCTCAAACTCCTGACCTCAGGTGATCCGCCCACTTTGGCCTCCCAAAGTGCTGGGATTACAGGCATGAGCCACCACATCCGGCCTCAAATTTTCTGTACTTGAAAATTCTATACTTTAGATACTTGAAATTACCTTTCAAGTATCTATAGAATGGCATGATAAGGGGGACCTCACAGCTCCCCTTTATTGTGCCATTCTATACTTTAGACACTTGAAAAGTAACTTTCCCAGACTCCTGTTGAGAGGTCAACTTGATAAAATTCCTGTCAATGAGTAGCAGGCGGGTATTCCCTTAGGCTCCTTTTCTTGAATGAAAATATAAAACTTCACAAGAAGATGACTTTTGGCTTTTCTTATCTAGTACATGCACACAATTCCTCGAGAAGCAGCAATCATCTTATGACCACAAGGACAAAAGTCACATGCTGGGAGTGGTAAACTGAAAGATAGAAGGACCCTAAGCGCCTGAGAGCATTGTTGAGCTGAGCTGCCATGCACTCCCGCTGTGCGCTGCCTGCTCCTGGGCTTCTTTCCTCTCCTTTTCTTTGTGTGGTAAAATATACATAAAATTTACCATTTTAACCATTTTTTGGTTTTGTTTTGGTTTTGAGGTCTTGCTCTGTCGCCCAGGCTGGAGTGCAGTGGCGCGATCTCGGCTGACTGCAACCTCTGCCTTCCGCGTTCAAGCGATTCTCTTGCCTCAGCCTCCTGAGTAGCTGGGATTACAGGTGCGCGCCACCACGCCCAGCCAATTTTTGTATTTTTAGTAGAGACGGGGTTCCACCACGTTGGTCAGGCTGGTTTCGAACTCCTGACCTCGTGATCCACCCGCCTCGGCCTCCCAAAGTGCTGGGATTACAGGCGTGAGCCACTGCGCCCGGCCCATTTTAACCATTTTTAAGTGTACAGTTCAGTGGCATTAAGTGCATTCACATGGCTGTGCAACCATTTTCACCATCCATCCAGACGTTTTCATCATCCTCAACTCTGCACCTGTTAAACACTAACTCCTCATTTCTGCCCTACCTGCAGCCTCAGGTAACCATTATTCTATTCATCTGTCTTTGTGTATAATATTTGACTATTCCAGATACTTCATGTAACTGGAATCATACAACATGTGTTCTTTTGTGTATGTTTTTTTTCACTTAGCATAGTGTCTTCAAGGTTTGTCCATGTTGTAACTTGCATCAGAATTTCACTCTTTTTAAAGGCTGAATAAGGTTCCGTATATACCACATTTTGTTTATCATTTATACGGGGACATTTGATTTGTTTCCCCCGGGCTTTTGTTTGTTTGTTTTGTTTTTTCAGGGTTTTACTCTGTTGCCCAGGCTGGAGGGCAGTGGGGCGATCACTGCTCGCTGCAGCCTCAACCTCCCAGGCTCAAGCGATCCTCCAACCTCATGATAATGGTTATAATAGCACTTGCCATTTACTGGGCTTTTTCTGCGTACCAGGCAGTGCGCTAAGCCCTTGATACATACGACGTCATTTAATCTTCACAAAATCCCTGTGATGCACACAACTACAATCAACTACATTTGATACAGGTAGCGATTGAAACTTGGACAGATAACTTGCCCAAGGCCACACACAGTCACACCAGACACTGGAATCTGGATCTGTCTCACTGCAAAGCAGCAATTCTTGACCACTAAAGTAATTGAAAAAAAAAAAAAGCAAAATCAATAGACTCGATGTGAGCAGTAAAAGACGCATCGTGTGTAAACTAAGGTCAGTCTCTGACGGGTTCTCTTTGAGTACCCCCGGGACACCCACTAAACGGCCCCAAGAGCGCTAACCCCACAGAGCCCTAGAGGTTTTCCTGCTCCTATCCCATCCACGTTTTCCTCGTCACTGCAGTCTAAGCTTCGCGAGCTCCTCCCCTTCTTCGCCACTGGCTCCTCCTACGCAAGCGCACTGTGACCCGGAACTTGACTACCGTTCAGCGTGTCTCCCAGAGCTGCTGCGCTGGAGCTGAGGGAGCGCGCAGAGCGGGGCGGTTGGGCGGGGCCTCTGTGTAAGCTGCGGGGCTTCGCGGGCTTTGGGTTGGGGAATGAATGGCGTGGACCGTACTTGTCAAATGGAAGGAGTCGCAAAAATTTCGATTGCACAAGTGTTTCATCCATCCCTCCATTTACTCCAGAAGTCTGTACAATGTCAATGACTGCTGTGTGCTGGCACCCACCTGGCACAACGACTGTGCTCCCTGCGTACCCGCACTTGATGGATACAGCAGTTCATGAAGGAAATGGGGACTAGGGGATGTGAAAGATGTTCCTGGAACCTCCCTCCTTGCTCACAGCCCCCATTTCCCTATCCCCTCACCCCACCACCAAAATTCATATAGGAGATGTCGGTATCTAGCAGGAATGGCACCAGGTTGTCTCTAGGGTTACCATTCCATGCTCCTCTGTTATCCAGAGGACCCGTACTTACCCCATGCGCATTCATCTGAGGGTCATGTAATGGCCTTTTTTAGTGTCAATGTCCTCCTAAGACTGTATGATCTAGGATGGTAGAGACAAGGTCTTGCTCACACTTGAGTCCCCTGACAGTTGAATACCCAGATCCTAACGCAGAGTTTGGCCCAGGTAAGATTCAGATTTACCTCAATATAAGAAACACAAATGAGCAGCTACTCTGTACAGTAGGCTATGTGATATATAGCATACAAAAATAGGCTAAGTCCGCTTTCTAGGAGCTCACAGTCTAGGAGGGTTGGAACGCTTTTCATAAGATAAGGTGAGGAAAGGGGGCACTCAACAAAGGAGCAAATAGCTAGGGATGGGGACTGTCGAAGGCAGACCATTGATCCTTAACGCTGGTCCCCAGGGACAGAGAAAGAGAAAAGGGAGTGGGGGAGGGAGGGGAAGAAAAGTAGTAATTTTGTTTTGCTTGCTTATTTGTATTTTTGTGCCAAACTATTTTTTTTCTATTATGTTTTCTCAAAAGTTGAATATTTTCTCACATCTGCAGCAACCTGGGCCATTATTGCATAAATTCCTCTTTCCTCAATGTCTGCTTCATGTCAGTCCTCTAACCTCTCTCTCCCAGTTCTTCCTCCTGACACCTACCACTCCTCTGATTGCTTAACAAGTGTTAAATTGTAGAAATGGTTTCTGTTCTCATTGTTCAGCTTCACAACCACTTTATTTCTAGAACATATGGTCTCTAACTCATTAAGAAATAGCCGAACTGACCGGGTGCGGTGGCTCACGCCTGTAATTCTGGCACTTTGGGAGGCCGAGTCGGGCGGATCACGAGGTCAGGAGATCGAGACCATCCTAGCTAACACGGTGAAACCCTGTTTCACAGGCTAAAATACAAAAAATTAGCCGGGCGTGGTGGCGGGCGCCTGTAGTCCCAGCTACTCGGGAGGCTGAGACAGGAGCATGGCGTGAACCTGGGAGGCAGTACTTGCAGTGAGCCGAGATCACGCCACTGCAATCCAGCCTGGGCGACGGAGCAAGACTCTGTCTGAAAAAAAAAAAAAAAGAAAAGAAATAGCCAACTATCTATCTATATACACCATTTTATAATTTCCCAATTCCAAAAAGCTTTTCATTTATCCAGTTTTTTGTTTTTGCTTTTTTTTTTTTTTTTTTTTGAGACAGAGTCTTGCTCTGTTGCCCAGTGCAGTGGCATGATCTCACCTCACTGCAACCTCCACCTCCCGGGTTCAAGCGATTCTCCTGCCTCAGCCTCCTGAGTAGCTGGGATTACAGGCACGTGCCACCACACCCAGCTGATTTTTGTATTTTTAGTAGAAATGGGGTTTCACCATGTTGGCCAAGCTGGTCTCAAACTCCTGACCTTAGATGATCCACCTGCCTTGGCCTCCCAAAGTGCTGGGATTACAGGCATGAGCCACCGTGTCCGGCTCCATCCATCCAGTTTTATAAGCAAGCATAGTAATCTGGTAGATTTATTTGACACTATCCCCACCCTTACATTCTCATATCCAATATATTATCAAGTTTTGTCAATGTTATGTCCCGCACATTTCTCAAACCTGTCTGTGTCACACCATCTCTACCAGCACCTTAATCCAAACTTTTACCTGGATTAATACTATACTCACCTCAATTTCATTTTTGTTTGTCTGCCAATCCATTCTCCCCAGAGCAGAATAATAATATTCTTAATATGCAAATCTAATCTGCCATTTGATCCTAACACCTGTCAATGATTTACTTTCATTTCAAGGTTAAAGACCAAAATCCTTAGTGGGACCTACAATATTGCCCTGCCAAAATCTTCACTCTATTTTACTTTGTTCTATCCACTTTGTCTTTCTGTCTTACCCACTGGCCTTCTTTCAGTTCCTTAAAAACACCCTTCTACCACAGGGACTTTGCACATACTATTCCCCCTACTTCATGTATTATTTTCCTTGTTCTTCATATTCTTAGCAACTACACATCCTCTAGGTCTCAGATTTAACATCACTTCTTAAGAGAAACTATCTCTGACTCCCAGATCAAGTCATTACAAAGATGAATTCTGCCAAGTAAGCGTGATCAAAGTAAAAGTGTGTGTTCAGAACTCCATTTGCTCCTCCTGGTGCACTCTTCACGTTTCTCTGCCATGCCTTGTGGCTAAGCAGGCTGATTTGTGTGGACTACACCAACATCTCCCTGGCCTCCCTGGCCCTCAGAGCAAATGAGGGTGTCAAGGTGTTTATCCCCTGCACCTCCAAGCTGGGTCGCTGCACGCTGGCTACTCCCTCAACCAAGTGCCAGCTACAGCTTTTGTCAGGCAGCTGTCTCCATGGAGGTTTCTTTGTCTCCAAGTTCTAGGAACTGCTGCCTCCTCTCGCTCCTCCAAGCTAAGGGGTACCATCAACAGTGCTATCACATACTACATTATTACTTCTGGTTCCCCTAATCCCTGCCCACTCCTTTGTAAATAGTTCTTGTATTTAACACTTTTCAAATTACCCTCTTGCTGTTTGCCATCTGTTTCCTCTGGGGACCCTGACTGCGACATTGCCCTGGGGAATTTTTGGTGTAACTAAAGTTTACATCATTGGTGTCAAAACTTTTATTTATGGCCAACCAAAAGGATTATCTAGTCCTTTATATTTATAAAATGGAATACTATATGGTTACTGAAAAAGCATGTTTTTGAAAATAGAAACAGGATAGAAATATGTTGAATTTGGTCTCAATTTTATTTTAAAAAATCTTAACTAATATTTGTCTCTATTCAACAGATATGCTTCAAAATGTTAATAGTTGCTTTCAGAGTGACAGAATTACTTTTTTGTATATGATTTTCTCTATTTTCCTGGTTTTCTGCAATAATATTACATTTTTATGATAATAAAGATATATAATATATATACATACACGTTATTTTAAGACATTTTTAATTGATCCAATTATTCAAGTTATAAAATCCATTAATTAATTAAAGTATAAATTAAACAAGACAATGAAAGTATATTGCCTAGGACACTACTTGCACGAGGTGGACACTCAATGTATCAATAACAATTTATCATGACAAATAAATGTTTTCCAAACTTCTCAGCTTTATTAAACAAAATACAGAGAACACAAATTAGACTTTTCTGGATGACTTGGGAATATTAATTATCATATTGTACTTTAATAGGATGCTCTGAGCTCATTTAATTCAATTCTTTCATTTAACATACCAAAAAAAATCTGTAAAATAGAATCATCCCCAGAGAGGTTAAGTGACTTCCCTGAGGTCATATACAGCTAATTAGTGCTCTCAGCTCATTTTTTTCTCTCTAAAGACTTCCTCCAAGATCTGCTTCCTTTCCTCCAGAGAAATACTTCTTTTCCTATATTTGTCAGTACGTGCAACTTATTTAATTCTATTGCAAACTTTTTTTTGACTAATTAACCCTATTCCTAACTCTGTAATACTACATTATGTATTTTTTCTTTCTCTCTCCTTGTCTCAGTTCTATTTTGATTCTGGAAATAGATGTTATCAAGTGAAATGAATACTAATAATAGATAACAGTGAAAGAAAATAAAATAGATTCAGAATAAACTTAGATTTAAGAATGAGTTGCTGCAACTATCTGAGGCTGGTGACGCAGTTGGTAAAAAGAATTTACCAAGGCAGGCTGGGCATCATGGCTCACTCCCGTAATCCCAGCACTTTGGGAGGCCGAGGTGGGCAGATCAGTTGAGCTCAGGAGTTTGAAACCAGCCTGGCCAACATGGTGAAACCCCATCTCTACTAAAAATACAAAAATTAGCTGGGTGTGGTGGCACATGCTGGAATTATACCAGCTACTTGGGAAGCTGAGGAGGGAGGATCGCTTGAACCAGGGAGGCAGTGGTTGTAGTGAGCCAAGATCATGCCAGTGTACTCTAGCCTGGGTGACACAGTGAGACCCAATCTCAAAAAAAAAAAAAAAAAAAAAAAAAAAGAATTTACCAAGGCAGTATATGAGAGAAAGTAGTAAAAATGCATTGCAAGAAGGCAATGGGCAGATCAGCAAGAGAGGAGCTGACTGCAAAGAGACAGAGGCTTGCTTGGGTTTTATAGGATGATGCTTGTGCTGGAGAGGGATATGTGCAGTACAGATAATGGCTAGGTTGCAGTGAACTAACTTGCATTTTTCTATCAGCTGAGGGACTGGTGATAGCTGGGTGCAGGAAGATTGTGAGCTATTTGCGCAGGAGGGCTATGTGTCCTGGACCATGAAGAAAGGCAGACTCACAGCTTATCTGCTTTTTCTTTTTGCTTTCCCCTGCTCCCACCAGCCTGACTCCCTTTCTCTAATTAGGACTCCACATGAATGCCATCAACTTTTAGAGCCAATTAACATGCCTTGTACTCCCCTTCAGAAATCACACAAATGCCTACCATCACCTTTCTCCACCTCTTTATACTAACAGTACTTTGGTGAGGTGTAATTTATGTATTAAAAATGAATACATTTAAGTGTAAAGCTTGATGAATTTTGACAAATATATACACTTGTGCAACCATCATCCAGATCAAGGTGAAGAAATTTCCTTAACTTCGGGAAATTCCTGTATGTCTCCTTCCTGTCATCTTCCCCCCAGACCCCACGAGACACACCACTATTCTGATTTCTATCACCATAGCTTGGTTTTGTCTGTTCTTGACCTTCTTATAAGGAATCATGCAGTGCGTACTCTTTCATTCCGTGTATGAGCTGTTCATTTCTTTATATTGCCATATAGTATTCTACTGTGTGAATACACCTCAATTTATTTATCTGTTCTTCTGTCAATAGACACTTGGGTTATTTCCAGTGTGGGCTATTATGAATAAAGCTATTATAAACATTCCTGCACAAGTCTTTTTTGGAAATACAGTAAACTTTCTTAAAACAGGAGGGTTTTTTTGCTTTTTTGTTTTTTTAGCTCATCAGCTATTGTTATTGTATTTTATATATGGCCCAAGACAATTCTTCTTCTTCCAATGTGGCCCAGGGAAACCAAAAGATGGGACACCCCTGGATATGCCTAGGAGTAGAATTCCTCCATCATGAGGTAAGTACATGTTTCACTTTTTAAGAAACTACCAAACAGTGGCCGGGCGCGGTAGCTCACGCCTGTAATCCCAGCACTTTGGGAGGCCGAGGCAGGCGGATCATGAGGTCTGGAGATAGAGACCATCCTGGCTAACACAGTGAAACCCGTCTCTACTAAAAATACAAAAAATTAGCTGGGCGTGGTGGCGGGTGCCTGCAGTCCCAGCTACTCTGGAGGCTGTGGCAGGAGAATGGCATGAACCCGGGAGGCAGAGCTTGCAGTGAGCAGAGACCGTGCCACTGCACTCCAGCCTGGGCGACAGAGCGAGACTCAGTCTCAAAAAAAAAAAAAAAAAAGAAACCACCAAACAGTTTTCCAAAATGGTTGTTTTATTTTACACTCTTTCCCATTACCCCACATCCTCACCAATACTTAGAATTACCAGTCTTCTAAATTTTAGCAATTTTGATGAATATGTGTTAGTCTCTCATTATGATTTTAATTTGTTGAGCAACTTTTCATACATTTAGCAGATATCTATTTTGTGTGTGAAATATCTGTTCATTTTGCCCATTTAAACACTTGGGTTGTTTGTCTTTTTATTATTGATTTGTAAGAGTTCTTTAGATATTCTGTTTACCTGTTCTTCATCTTTTCCAGTCTGTAGGTTGCTGTTTCACTTCTTTAAAGTGTCATTTAATAAACGAAATTTTAAAATTTTTATGAAGTCCAATTTATTGACTGTTTTTTTTTTTTGTCCAGTTAGTGAATTGTGTTATAGGAAACAGTTATCTGCCCCAGCACGGTGGCTCACGCCTGTAATTCCAGCACTTTGGGAGGCTGAGGTGAGCAGATCACTTGAAGCCAGGTGTTCAAGACCAGCCTGGGCAACATGGTGAAACCCTGTCTCTATCAAAAATACAAAAATTAGCTGGGCATGGTGGTGGATGCCTGTAGTCCCAGCTACTTGGGAGGCTGAGGTGGGAGGATTGCTTGAGCCCAGGAAGTGGAGGTCTCGGTGAGCTGTGTTCACACCACTGCACTCCAGCCTGGGTAACAGAGCATGACCCCAACAATCCCCAAAAAAAGAGTAGTCCAGAGACTTTTGCAAAGAATGAATGGATGGGGTTTGCTTTATCAGATATTAAAATATTGTATAAAGAGGCTGGGTGCAGTGGCTCATGCCTGTAATCCCAGTACTTTGGGACGCTGAGGCAGCTGGATCACTTAAGGTCAGGAGCTCGAGACCAACCTGCCCAACATGGTGAAACCCCATCTCTACTAAAAAAATAAGAAAATTAGCCAGGTATGGTGGCAGGTGCTTGTAATCCCAGCTACTCCAGAGGCTGAGGCAGGAGAATTGCTTGAACCTGGGAGGCAGAGGTTGCAGTGAGCCGAGATCATGCCACTGCACTCCAGCCTGGGCGACAGAGTGAGACTCCATCTCAAAAAAACAAACAAAAAAAAAACGTATATATAAAGATAAGTAATTTTAAATGTATGTTACTCCAGAGAAATGGAAATTTTTAGCAAAGAAACAGAATAGAGTTCAAATATAAACAGATACTTCTAAGCACATGGGCAAGGATGTACAAGCCCATAAATGATATTGAAACAACTATTTATTCATTGGGAAAAGAAATCAAATACTTACCTTACATTAAGGCAAAAATAAATTCCAGATGGAGCTTAACATTAAGAAATCATACCAGTATTAAAAGCAGAAATGAAAAGTGTTTATAATCTTAATGAATATCTTATGCAAATGCAAAATAATGGGAAATTAACTGTAAGAATTGTCTTCTGCCTGAGATAATAGACAAAAATACATGAGAAGCAATTTAAAACAAATGAGATAACATTTTTCAGGATCAGATTAGGAAAAATTTATTAATAAAA
Source organism: Homo sapiens (assembly GCF_000001405.40). Classification (NCBI taxonomy): domain Eukaryota; kingdom Metazoa; phylum Chordata; class Mammalia; order Primates; family Hominidae; genus Homo; species Homo sapiens. The sequence continues at coordinate 100,404,319 of NC_000009.12, read as the reverse complement.
AACATGCTTTGTGTCACTTAATGGATACCCTGATACATTACTAGTGCACATTTATATTGATATAATCTTTTTGAAGGACAGTAGTTAGATTTTAAATGTGCAATCCTTTCAATTTAGAAATTCCACACCTATATACATATATATATTCTAGAGACACAGATGTACACAAAGAGGCATGTATGAGGGAGTTCACTAGAACATTAATTTTGATAAATGGTGTTTAAAAGTCATAAAGTAGGCCAGGCACGGTGGCTCACTCCTGTAATCTCAGCACTTTGAGAGACCAAGGTGGGAGGACTGCTTGAACCCAGGAGTTCCAGACCAGCCTGGGCAATATGGTAAGGCTCCATCTCTATTTTTTTTTAAAAAGTAATAAACACACTGTATAATACTGTATTTCATTGACTCTAATGTGACATCAATTGTAAGACCCAACATTATTTTGTATACCAATAAGAAAAAAAAATGCTGCCAATTGAACTGTGGCACAATACTTTATTATGTAGAATATATATTTATATTTAATGAAAGAGATCTTTTAGACTTATTTAACCTAGATTTATAAGTCACATATCACTTTCTTTTGCACTCACAAAATGGAAAATATAAAGGAAATAAATGAGTTAAGGTATTTTTAAAACAACTTCACAGGCAAGGTGCAGTGGCTTACACCTGTAATCCCAGCACTTTGGGAGGCTGAGGCCAGTGGATTGCCTGAACTCAGGAGTTTGAGACCAACCTGCGCAACATGGTGAAACCCTGTCTCTACAAAAAATACAAAAAATTAGCCGGGCATGGGCACACACCTGTGGTCCCAGCTACTCAGGAGGCTGAGGTGGGAGGATCACCTGAGCCCAGGAGGCAGAGGTTGCAGTGAGCCAAGATCTCGCCACTGCACCCCAGACCAGGCAACAGAGCAAGACCCTATCTCAAAAACAAAAAACAAAAAACTTCACATTAGGTCAGCAAGTCTGACTCTTCTGAATCCCTTTTGAGTCAGAGTCATCAATGATGTGCTTTTTCCCCATGAAGTTGTCCCGTGTGCCATCCAAAGTATTGGTGATACAGCATTTGTTTAAAAAATGTTCCTCTTTTTCAGTTTCTGTTGGATTTTCTAGCAAACTGACACCCATTCTCAGGTTTTGATGCACATATAAAGTCTGTGATAAGAGATTGTATTAATTCATTCTCACATTACTGTAAAGAAATACCAAAATACCTGAAAATGGGTACTTTATGAAGAAAAGAGGTTTAATTGACTCATGATTCCACAGGCTGTACTGGAAGCATGGCGGCATCTGCCTCAGGAAACTTACAATCATGGTACAAGGCAAAGAGGGAGCCAGCATTTTACATGGCTGGAGCAGGAGGAAGAAGAAGAGGGTGGAGGTGCTACACACTGTTGAACAACCAAATCTCACGATAACTCACACACTCACTATCACCAGAATAGCATCGAGGGGTGGTGCTAAACCATTCATGAGAAACTGCATCCATGATCCAATCACCTCCTACCAGGCCCCACATCCAACACTGGGGATTACAACTGAACATGAGATTTGAGATTTGGGTGGGGACACAGATCCAAACCATATCAGAGGTTTTCACGTTAAGATGTGAAAAATTGTATGTTAAAAATTGATGAAATATATGTGTTATACAGAAATATCTCTTCTAGTACATATTAAATGAAAATAGCAATTTGCATAGAATACGTACAATATGATTCCAGTTGTGAAAGAAAAAACTAAAGAGTTTCAGTGGCAGACACTCTAGGTTGACCCCCCAGAGCAATTTATAATCCTCTCTTCTTTTTAACTTCTAATAGCTTTATTGAGATGTAATTTGGGTACCATGCAGTTCATCCATTTTAACTGTATAATTCAATGATTTTTAGTACATGTATTCTATTGTGCAACCATCACCATAATCCAGTTTAAAAGCACTTCCATCCCCATAGGTGGTTAGAGAAAGTGCCAGGAAGTGATCAGGGTTCTGGCTAAGACTGCAGAATAGCCTTGGGCTTGTGGAATGGCTAGGAACAGTTTCTGTGTTGAAGGAATGGCATAAAGCTTCAATTCCATACAGATTTACTTGCATTTTATCATTCAGGAAATCTGCATTATTGTTTAAAATGTGCAGGCTCCCACCAAGCAATTCCCTTTGGCCCTACATTTAAAAGTATAGTAGGGACAGCATTACAATGCACTGCAGTGAGTACAACAACAGAGGAAAATGCTGGTAGGGATCAGGGTGGGGATGGGAGGTGGGGAAGGGGATTATAGAATGAGGTGGTGTAGGTGACGGTCCAAAAATGCACTTACCAGGGAAATGGCACTCAGGGCAGACTCTAAGTCATGCATGTCCTTTTGAGCCTGCAAATTTTTATGTGATCTCCTCCACTGTGTTCCACCCCATTCTGTACTAAACCCATCAGCTCTTAAAATGTATTGTTAACTGCCAGTTTGGTTGTTGGTAATCTCCATTAGACTGCAAGCTCACTGAGGGCACAGACTGAATCTTGCCCGTAATTAAATCCCTAGCTCCAACACAATTCCTGGCACAGAGTAGGGCCCATCTCCATAAAAATAGGATGAATCACTCTACCCTTTGTGCTAAGGATTGCATAATGTCTAGTGTATAAAGATGAATGAGACCTCAGTCCTAGCTTCTTGGATCTTACTCCCTAGTGGGAGTAGAAGGCAGATTCCCACAATAAAGTAAGTTGAGAAAAGGAGCACTAAACAGAGGGGCAGATAACCAGGGATGGGCCTGCAAAAGATAAAACTGTTAATCCCCCTACTAGGCCCTAGGAGTATCACTGCTGTCCCAAAGTAATTATGCTCAGGATATACAGGAAATGTAAGAAAGTGGTAGCCTCTGCATTAGGATGCCCATAATCTAAGAAAAACAAAACTGTGGTATGGAAGGTATGGTTGCTAAAGCCTAATCAGCTAAAGGCTATGGTCAGATTATTCATTCACTTCAGTGAGGGAGAGGACCCCAGAGGAACCTGGAACTTCACTCAACAAGAGGGAGAAGGCAGCATCTTTTGTAAGGTTGTAGTTACATGGAAAATCCTGAGGAGGTCTAAGGGAAGGGGGGGTCAGTTTGGGATTGGCTGCTGTTTCTGAGACAATATTAGGAGAAAGGGGATAAACTAGGGATTGGGGCCAGGTGTGATCGCTCATTCCTGTAATCCCAACACTCTGGTAGGCTGAGGCAGGAGGATAGCTTGAGTCAGGATTTCAAGGCTGCAGGGAGCCAGGATTATGCCACTGCACACCAGTCTGGGTAACAAAGCAAAACACTGTTTTAAAAAAAAAAATCCTAGGAATTGACTGCTTCTGTTGGTGAGATATCCTGGCCAGTCACAGAGAGAACACTGCAAAATCACCAAACATGGAGAGGTAGGACCAAACAATGGAAAACAGCAACAGCAACAAGAAACTTCCCACAAAATGAGCCTGCAAACCAAAAACCAAAGTACAAATCCACTCCTGAGAAAATGGATGATAGAGCAAATTAAAATATTTAATATTCTCAAAGGAATGAAGAAAAAAATCAATAAAAGAAAACAAAATATCCCATGTGTGGTGGCTCACACCTGTAATCCCAGCATTTTGGGAGGCTGAAGCAGGAGGATCACTTGAGTCCAGGAGTTTGAGACCAGCCTGGACAACATGGTGAGACCTTGTCTCTATGAAAAATACAAAAATTAGCTGGGCATTGGGTGCTTGCCTGTAGTCCCAGCTACTTGGGAGGCTGAGGTGAGAGAATTGCTTGTACCTAGGAGGTCAAGGTTGTAGAAAGCCATGTTAATGCCACTGCACTCCAGCCTGGAACAGAGAGAGACACCATCTCAAAAAAAAAAAAAAAAAAAGAGAGAGAGAAAATGAAATAAACAAAACTACTGGAATTGAAAACTACAGTGAAATAAAATCTCAAAAAAATGATAAATACTGATGAATTCGTTGACAGCATCCACAAAAAAAAAGATTCTTTTAAAAATATAAAAAAGCAGTTAAGAAACACAGAGAGTAATTTGAGACATTTCAAAATATATTTAATAGTGAATAACGTGTACATTATGTGAATTATACCTCAATAAAGCTGTTTTTAAAATATCTATTATCTATCTATCTATCTATCTACCTATCTATCTCTCATCTGTCTGTGAGTTCCAGAAGAGAATAAAGGGAATGATGGAAAAGTGATACTGAAGAAACAGCAGCTGATCATTTTGAAAACTGAATAAAGTCCAGGTTCTCTGAAAGAAAGCTCTAGATACAGTCTAGTGAATCTGCAAAATAAATGAGAAACTATTAAAAACTATAACACAGAAGGAGAGAATTCATGGATTGGAAGTCCTTCTTTATCTATCCCCTTAATCTCATGTCCTGCTCCACAAATCACTAGTAAAAGTTTGGTATGTGGGTGCACATATATAACTATATATTTATGCAAATATATTATGCAATTGCTATGCATGTGTTTTTGCTTTGTTTGATTGATAAAAGGATCATACAATATAACTTCTGTGCAATGTTCTCTTTTCATATAGCAATAAACCATGGGGACCTTTAGGACTCTGTAAGAATCTGTTTTTTTATTGTAACATTTTCCTTTTTTTAAAATGCTATTTAAAAATAATATTTAATTTTTTTCAATGTCAGAGAAAAATAAAGAGAAACTCATAATCTCATTGTCCAGATACCACTTGTTGATATTTTTTAAATAATAAAAGAAATAAACATTCATAGCTAGGAAACTTTTTTACAGTTTAGAAAAACATAAAAATTTTAAAGATAACGTGATTTTTTTCAGACCTCTGCTTATTTACTTATTATTCCAGGCCTGTTTATACATTTATTAACATATGTTATTTATATGGATTTTTCTTTTGTTTTAAAAAGTTTCTTAAAGTTTTAAAACAAAAGGAATCATTATAACATTGTTCCTCATGTTGACTTTTACCTTAGTAATATAGCTTCGAGATCTTTCCATATTAGCCCATTTAAAACCATAGTGTTCTTTGCTTTTTAATGGATCCATAATATTTCATAACATGCAATACCCCATATGTAACTACAACCATTTACTATATAGGAGATACATTGTGTATAACCACAACCATTGATATCCTCTGTGGTTCCTTTAATATTTCTCTAAAAGCAAATTTTAACTTGTTTCCAGTGTTTTGCTCTATAAGCAGTACTCACACTAAACATCCTTGTTCATATACCTCTGTACCTCTGTGAAGTTTTCTGTTGGACAGATTTCTAGATTTGGAATTTCTGAGTAAAGGCACATGGGCACTTCAAATTTTGATTACCACTTCCCCCTGCAATTTCCAATCCAGTTTCCCTCTCAAAAACCTGCACCAGTTTACCCTTCTAACAGTGTATCTGAGTGCTTTTTTTCTCTATCTTTCATCAATACTGGGTGTTAGCAATTTTTAAAATGTTTGCAGCAAGGTGCGGTGGCTCATGCCTGTAATTCCAGCACTATGGGAGGCCAAGGTGGGTGGCTCTCTTGAGCTCAGGACTTCGAGACCAGCCTGGGCAACATGGCAAAAACCTATCTCTACAAAAAATACAAAAATTATCTGCACATGCCTGTGGTCCCAACTACTTGGGAGACTGAGGTGGGAGGATAACTTGAGCCTGGGAGGTGGAGGCTGCAGTGAGCTGAGATTACACCACTGCACTCCAGCCTAGGGGACAGAGTCAGACTCTGTCTCAAAAAAAAAAAAAAAAAAAAAAAGTTTTCCTGCATCATGGATAACTAAAAGTGATATTTTATTATTTTAAATTACATTTTTCTACTTAGTGGCAAGAAGGATATTTCATAAATTTGAATCTGAATTTTTCTTCAAGCCCAATTTTTTGGAGGTTAGTTTTTGAATGCATGATGTGTGTGTGTGTGTGTGTGTGTTTAATAGTCTAATACTTGTCTTTTATCTATCATTATATATATTTTTTATCATACCAAAGCTTGAAATTTTTATAAAATCTAATGGTTAATGGATTTGGGGTTTAGTAATTTGCTTGTAAAGCCCCCAAAATATCATTTTATATTTTCTTTCTACAGTTTTTTTTAACATTTGGATGTTAGGTTGTAATATAGATAAAATTTTTATATCCAAACCCATAGCTAATCATCTCAACACCATCGATTGCATCATATTTTCCTTCACTGACTTGAAATGTCACATTCATCATGCACTACATATACATATATTTGTATATCTATGCATGCCATATGTGGAGATCTCAGGTTTCCTCCTGCAAGGAGAGTAATTACCAACAGCTCCACTTCTTGCACTCTGAAATCCATCATTGTTTTCACTCTAAGGCCTTACTTCTCATGGGCTGCCCCCACTCAGTGATTGAGCACTGAAGAGACAGAAAGCAAGACTTTCCTGGAAGACAAAGAATTCCTCTGACAGGTGACTTTTGCTCAAAACTTGGATGCTATGCTATGTAGACTGGACCTTATTCTCCAGTCAGTGGAGACCCATTAAAGAGCAGACTGACAGCAAATTGAGACCCACTTCCACTGTCAGCGTGCATAACAGATGTCTATAGTACAATTTTCATGATCATAACCATCAGCAAACACTTGTTAGGAACCTGCTATGCATATAAGACTCAGATCCAAGTTTCAGAATATTTACATTCTTTTCCAGGATGATAGGAAATGTTGGAGATAAATGTGATGTAAATGGAAGATTAGAAGCATAGAAAGTAAATGACACTGGTAGGGTGTGGTGGCTCACGCCTGTAATCCCAGCACTTTGGGAGGCTGAGGTGGGTGGATCACCTGAGGTCAGGAGTTCGAGACCAGCCTGGCCAACATGGTGAAACCCCATCTCTACTAAAAATACAAACATTAGCTGGGTGTGGTAGTGCACGGCTGTAATCCCAGCTACTAGGGAAGCTGAGACAGAAGAATTGCTTGAACCCAGGGGGCAGAGGTTTCAGTGAGCTGAGATCGCGCCACTGCACTCCAGCCTGGGTGACACAGCGAGACTCAGTCGGCAAAAAAAAAAAAAAGGAAAGAAAGAAAAAGAAAATAAATGTCACCAAGTTCAAAGAGAAAGAAAACACTATTTGCTGGAGTAGCAGAGGAAGGCTTTCTTGAAGAACTAAAGTTTGAACATGAACCTGAAGGATAGGTAGCTCTTAGATGTGGCACAGAAGGTGAGAGGTATTCTAGGCAAAGGGGTTAGCAAAGAGGAACACCATATTATGACACTAAAGAAAGGATTAGTAAGAAATGAGTTCATTGAATAGGTGAATTAAAACCAAATAATATTATTTTTTACACAGCTGGGACTCAAAGTTTTTTTTGTAGAAAACGCTGACGTCTACAAAACAGTGTTTATTTTTTATTTATTTATTTATTTATTTTTATTTATTTATTTTGTTGAGACAGAGTCTCGCTTTGTCGCCCAGGCTGGAGTGCAGTGGCGCCATCTCGGCTCGCTGCAAGCTCCGCCTCCCAGGTTGACGCCATTCTCCAGCCTCAGCCTCCCAAGTAGCTGGGACTACAGGCGCCCGCCACCATGTCTGGCTAATTTTTTTGTATTTTTAGTAGAGACGGGGTTTCACCGTGTTAGCCAGGACGGTCTCGATCTCCTGACCTCGTGATATATATATATATACATATATATATATATATATATATATATACATATATATATATATTCAGCCTTTGATATCTGCGGGTTCTGCATCCTCAGAGTCAATCAACCTCAGATTAAAAATATTTAAAAATAAATAAATAAAAACAATACAACAATAAAAAAGTAAATTTTAAAACAATACAGTATACAACTATTTACATAGCATTTATCTTCTATGAGGTATTATAAATAACTCAGAGATGATTTAAAGTACACAGGATGATGCTAGTAGATTATATGCAAATACTACACCATTTTGTATGAGGGATTTAAGCATCTAAGGATTTTGGTATCTGCAAGGCCTGAAACCAATTCCCAAGGATATCAAGGAACAATAATATAATATAATTTGTATTTACCCTTATGTGAGCAGAAGTGATGTGCACCTCCTCCGGCAGATCTTGCCCATAAAAATGTCCCTTTAGTGATTCTTCATATTATTTGTCCTTCCAACATCTTGATACAGAGGAGCTCAAAGGCCATATTTTACGTGGCTTTTCTGGTTGATTGTTGCTAGTGTATAGAATAATTACTACTTCAAATAGGTTATATGTGTACATGGACAAAATTTCAAACAATATTAAAGGACACTGTAGTCAGCACTATTCATGCCCATCCAGATCCTCTTTACCAGGCCAGTACACACATTCCTAGGTGCTAAATGTTGTCCCCTAATGATATAGGAGTTAAGAAGAAATTATTTAGGCACATAGTGAGGGTAAGGAAGTCCTCTGTAAGGTTTTCTTTTTAATGAAAAGCAGCCCCAAAGTCATTTTCTTTTCTAACAAACAGCAGTCTGTAAAATTGAGCAGCAGACATAGACAAGCAAGCTGGAAGCTTGCATGGGTGAATGCTGGCAGTTGTGCCAATAGAAAAAGGCTACCTGGGACTAGGCATGTTCAAAATGGTGGCTCCATGTTCCCTTCTCTTTGCCAGCCACGTGTACAGTAAGGAGCAGACAACATGGTGTCCGGCCAAATGGAAGGCCCATTTGCATAATAAGATGAGGGTGGAGTGGCCAGCCTTCCCCAAGCACTGTGTAAATGTCACACCTGGTCTAACCAATCTGTGGGCCCTACGTAAATCAGACACCACCTCCTCAAGCCTGTCTATAAAATCTGGTGCGCCCTGCCATGGGCCAGAATTCCCATTGGGGTATCCCTCTCTCTCGCAAAAGAGAGAGCTGTTCTCCTTTCTCTTTCCTTTGCCAATTAAACCTCCACTCCTAAAGTCACTCCTTGTGTGTGTCCATGTCCTTAATCTTCTTGGTGTGAGATGACAAATCTCAGGTATTTACTCCAGACAATGACACCGCTTCACTAAGACATAAAGCTACACCCTCTTTTAGAGATTTGCTCTGGCCAAACTTACCCCTCACCCCAAGAGGGCACTCACTGCCAGTGATTCATCCAAAGTAGGGGTAGAAGGGCCAGCTAGTTTGTCTCAAGTAGAAACCAACTCTTTGTGGCAATTTGTGCTCCTGCTTTTACAGTATGACCAGGTTGAAGTAACACTCTGAGACAATATCCTTGCTTAGCAACTTCTACTTTATTCAGTTTTCCTTACTCCCTGTCTCCTGAAAGCATTTCCTCAATAAACCACATGCATGCTATTTCCTGTCTCAGGCGGTACTTCTACAGAATTTGACCTAAACCATTACATTGTGAAATGGGATTGTCAGTAAGGGAAGTAAAAGTAACTCTTCCCAACTTGCAATGTCTCCCTAAGAGACATTACAAAAAGAAAGGGAAAAGACTGACACCTTCATATATGCTATACGAAACTGCACATTTTAGTGTACTGCTAGACATAGTGTGCAGATTTCCTCTTGCATGCCAACTGTTGACTATTATATGTTGTGCTGAGAAGGATTCTGAGACCCAGCCTGGGCTCAGTGAGCAAGAGTGCTGATGGAGACGGGATACTTGCTTCAGGCAGGAGATAGAGGTGTGCAGGAGGAGGTGTAGTGAAGGATAATTTCAGCATAATTTTGCTGTTGAAACAAACCTTTCTATTTTCTTAACATTTCAGGCATATTTTTGGTGCCAAACACAAGGTGGTAAATTCCTCAGTAACTCAATTTCAAAACAAGTGTGGATGTGACATTTCCAAGGCACTACACTGTAGTGGTTAAGAACAGAATTCCATCCCAGGCCACAGGCTCAAAGTTAAATGGCCTGGGTTGGAATTCTGGCTCCTCCATTTACAAACTATATGACCTTGAACAAGTTACTTAATCTCAATTTCTAGGTCCATAAAACTACAATAGTAGTATAAAGGTTCACTATAGAATTTTTATAAGAATGAAATAAGTTGATTCATGTAAAGGTAGAACAGTGCTTGGTACATGTTAATTATTTGATGACTGTAAGCTTTTATCATTTTCATTTAATGATTTCACAATAGTAGAGTCTTGGCCAATGAGTGATTATTCCTTACTTAAAAAGTTTATTTATCATCACATAACTGGTTATTCATGTTAATTTAAGAAAAAGTCCTTTGTACTGTAGAATTATAACTTTTAGGTGATGAAATACAACTACTTAAACTTTTAAGTGAATATTTAATAAGGCTGGTGATTGACCTGACTATCTGTGATTCATCAGGTTACGGTTTGGGGGACTTAATTCCTTCTGGCAATTACAAATGCTAATCACCTTAGGAAAGACAGTAAAAGAGGAAATCAAACTGAGAGATTTAAAATTAGAGGTTGAAACTCTTGGAAATATTGATTAGAAGAAATAACTTTTTTTTTTTTTTAGTATTTATTGATCATTCTTGGGTGTTTCTCGGCGAGGGGGATGTGGCAGGGTCATAGGATAATAGTGGAGAGAAGGTCAGCAGATAAACACGTGAACAAAGGTCTCTGGTTTTCCTAGGCAGAGGACCCTGCGGCCTTCCGCAGTGTTTGTGTCCCTGGGTACTTGAGATTAGGGAGTGGTGATGACTCTTAAGGAGCATGCTGCCTTCAAGCATCTGTTTAACAAAGCACATCTTGCACCACCCTTAATCCATTTAACCCTGAGTTGACACAGCACATGTTTCAGAGAGCACGGGGTTGGGGGTAAGGTTATAGATTAACAGCATCCCAAGGCAGAAGAATTTTTCTTAGTACAGAACAAAATGGAGTCTCCTATGTCTACTTCTTTCTACACAGACACAGTAACAATCTGATCTCTCTTTCTTTTCCCCACATTTCCCCCTTTATTTTTCAACAAAACCACCATCGTCATCATGGCCCGTTCTCAATGGTCGCTGTCTCTTCGGAGCTGTTGGGTACACCTCCCAGATGGGGCGGCCAGGCAGAGGCACTCCTCACTTCCCAGAGGGGGCGGCCGGGCAGAGGCGCTCCTCACATCCCAGACAATGGGCGGCCAGGCAGAGACGCTCCTCACCTCCCAGACGAAGGGTGGCTGGGCAGAGGCGCTCCTCACTTCCCAGATGGGGCGGCCGGGCAGAGGTGCTCCTCACATCCCAGATGATGAGCAGCCAGGTAGAGATGCTCCTCACCTCCCAGACGGGGCGGCTGGGCAGAGGCGCTCCCCACCTCCCAGACGGGGAGGCCAGGCAGAGGCGCTCCTCACATCCCAGATGGGGCGGCCGGGCAGAGGCGCTCCCCACTTCCCAGATGGGGTGGCGGCTGGGCAGAGGCGCTCCTCACATCCCAGACGGGGCGGCCGGGCAGAGGCGCTCCTCACATCCCAGACGGGGCGGCCGGGCAGAGGCGCTCCTCACTTCCCAGACGGGGCGACTGGGCAGAGGTGCTCCTCACTTCCCAGACAATGGGCGGGTGGGCAGGGGCGCTCCTCACTTCCCAGACTGGGCAGCCGGGCAGAGGCGCTCCTCACCTCCCAGACGGGGTGGCCGGGCAGAGATGCTCCTCACCTCCCAGACGGGGTGGCCGGGCAGAGGCGCTCCTCACTTCCCAGACGGGGCGGCCGGGCAAAGGTGCTCCTCACATCCCAGACGATGGGCGGCCAGGCAGAGACGCTGCTCACTTCCTAGACGGGGTGGCGGGTGGGCAGAGGCTGTAATCTTAGCACTTTGGGAGGCCAAGGCAGGCGGCTGGGAGGTGGAGGTTGTAGCAAGCTGAGATCACGCCACTGCACTCCAGCCTGGGCAACATTGAGCATTGAGTGAGCGAGACTCCGTCTGCAATCCCAGCACCTCGGGAGGCCGAGGTGGGCAGATCACCCGAGGCCAGGAGCTGGAGACCAGCCCGGTCAACACGGTGAAACCCCGTCTCCACCAAAAATACAAAAACCAGTCAGGAGTGGCGGCGCCTGCCTGGAATGTCAGGCCGAGGCAGGAGAATCACCAGAACTCGAGGCAGGGAGGTTGCAGCGAGCTGAGATCATGGCAGTACAGTCCAGGCTTGGCAAGAGAGGGAGACTGGAGGGAGAGGGAGAGGGAGGGGGAAGGGGGATGGGGAGGGGGAGGGAGAGATAACTTTTTAATGGAAGTTCTTTTTCACCTTTGAAAGTCACTTCCAATGTTGATTTACTTATTTCACTATTTTTGATGCCAGTTGAACAACATCTACTCATCAAAAAGTATTTTTTAAATGCTTTCATATCTGGTATTGGTATGATTGTTTTGTGAATAGCAAAAGCATGTAATTTAAGGATAGATATACACTATTTTGTGGACATGTTTGCACAGTGTGCAAGCTACTTGAAATAATGGTAACAAAGTTAGGTTAACGGGGTTTCTACATGAAAAATTAAATTTTATGGTTCCCAAGAGAAACCAGAAAGAATTTGGACTGCTGCTGTCTTAGACATGTGCTAATGTGGCTGTTATTAGTCTGAGGTGGAAGATACTGAGGTACTGGATGAATGGTTTGCATTTAGCAGTGATTGTTTTCAAGCTATGTTTAAAATTTCATTATGGGCCAGGCGCGGTGGCTCACGTCTGTAATCCCAGCACTTTGGGAGGCCAAGGCGGGCGGATCACGAGGTCAGGAGATCGAGACCATCCTGGCTATCACAGTGAAACCCCGTCTCTACTAAAAATACAAAAAAATTAGCCGGGTGTGGTGGTGGGCGCCTGTAGTCCCAGCTACTCGGGAGGCTGAGGCAGGAGAATGGCGTGAACCCAGGAGGTGGAGCTTGCAGTGAGCCGAGATGGTGCCACTGCACTCCAGTCTTGGCGACAGAGCAAGACTCCGTCTCAAAAAAAAAAATCCATTATGGTGAATATTTAATTGTAACAAAAAATAGGCTACATTTGCATTAGCCTACCCTAGATGATACCTAATTGGCACACAAATTCCATAGGAAGGCAATACTCCTACTCATTAACTTTCTTTATTTCTTTTTTTCTTTGAGACAGAGTCTCACTTTGTCACCCAGGCTGGAGTGCAGTGGCGCGATCTAAGCTCACTGTAACCTCTGTCTCCCAGGCTCAAGCAATCCTCCCACCTTAGCTTCCCCAGTAGCTGGGACTACAGGTGCGCACCAAGACGCCTGGCTAATTTTTGTAGTTTTTTTTCTTTTTTTTGGTTAGAGATGGGGTTTTGCCATGTTGGCCAGACTGGTCTCAAACTCCTGACCTCAGGTGATCTGTCCATCTTGGCCTCCCAATGTGCTGGGATTACAGACATGAGCCACCACGCCTGGCCTCCTACTCATTAACTTTCTACAAGAATCCTGTGATGAAATAATTAAACAAATTTCAAGTAAGAGTTTATAGAACCATACACATAAAAGGTAACCATGTGAGATGATGAATATGTTAATTTGCGTGATTGTAGTATTCATTTCACTATGTATATATGTCTCAAAATTACATGATACACCTTAAATATATACAACTAAAAAAAGTTAATAGATAAATATATTGTGCTAGGGGTCAGTGTGGGTTCAGAAAAACAGTCACAGAAAAATATAGTTGTATAACGTATTTTAAAAATATTTTGGGGGCAGGGCGTGGTGACTCATGCCTGTAATACCAGCACTTTGGGAGGCCAAGGTGGGGGATCACTTGAGCCCAGGAGTTTTGACACCAGCCTTGGCAACATGGCAAAACCCTATCTGTACACATAAAAAATAAAAAACTTACCCAGGCATGGTGGCACGTACCTATAGTCCCAGCTACTCAGGAGGCTGAGGTAAGAGGATTGCTTGAGCCCAGGAGGTAGAAGTTGCAGTGAGATATGATCATGCCACTGTACTCCAGCCTGGGCAATAGAGTGAGATTCTGTTTCAATATGCATTTCTGCTATAATCATTATTATTTTCACATGTACCATAATTGACTTTAAAAGGAATATAAGTACTTTCTACCTTAACGAAAGATAGTCTAAATGGTCTCATATATTGGTTGTGTTAGTTATAACAATATCTGTAAAGTTGTAAGTAGCTAAATATCATAAAATTGATGAGTAAATTTAATTTCACTTAATAAACATATAATAAATAGATACATTTTCCTATACCAAACAAGGAAACAAGCATTATAATAGAAAGGTTAAGCATTATGTAACAAACAACCCTTGATATTAAAGTAGACTCTCACACAGTTTGGCACAAAGTAAGCTCTTGGCAAATGTCAATTTCCTTCCTCTTCTCTCCTCTATATTAATATATTGACTTTCTCTTATTAAATGTGGTATATTTTTGGTTTCTCTAAAGAAACAAAATTTCAGAAGCATTGATCACACATATGATTACCACCCAGTCTCCCAACTCTCCTGGATGACGTAGGCTGAAGGGAACACAATTTAACGCCTAGGAAGGATGGGAAAGTGAACTATGGTGTAATAGGTACAGGCAATTGTCTCAACCAAGCCTCAGACAAATTGCAGGCAGATCATGGATTTAAACCTTTCTTCATAATGTAATCTTACTATTTCAAACTACAGATGCTCCTTGACTTATGATGGGGTTACATCCCAATAAACTAATTGTAAATTGAAAACATCACAAGTTGAAAATATGTTTAATATACCTAACATACCAAACATTATAGCTTAACCTAGCCTACATTAAACGTGCTCAGAAAACTTTCAGCACAGTATTCAATAAATTGCATAAGATTGCCAAAGTCAAATAAAATAGAGAGACTAATTTTAAAATGTTTTATTTGGGACACAAGAATTGCAATTCAAGGCATAAATACCGGCATGGTGGTTTTGGGTATGTATGAAGAACAAAGGGAAGGTTGGAGGTTTTAAAAAAGGAGAAATGTTATGTATTACTTTGAAAGAAAATTCATAGGCACTAATAAAGTTTTGAGGAGCTGACAGGTTCTGATTGGTGAGTGACAGCAGTGGGTAAAAGAAGTCTAGAGTCAAGTAGGTTGTTTCCTACTGGAGGTTTACTGGAGGTAAACCATTCAGGCTTTAGCATTTGAAAGTGTGAGGCTAGACACCACCTGTTCATGCGGATTCAGGAAAACATTAGCAGTTCAACCACCAGGTCTCTTGGGAAGCTGAGTTCAGGCATAGCCCCTTCCACCTGGCGGACAGGGAACCAACTGTTCATAGGCAGGCAACACAAAAAGTGTTCTCAGGTCATTTATTGGACAATCCTGCTTGTTCTCCAAAGTCCACTCCTTCACTTACAGAAAGTTCTGCATGTTTTTTTCCATCAGAGGAAATAACCTATTCATATCTGAAATAGGAAGAGAGAGATGCTCATTTGCCTTCCTACCTCCCACCCACTTCCTGGGTTGGATATGGTCATGTCAAATTAATTGGCATCTGTTCTCCTCCACAAGGATGAGCCACACTGTTGGTCAGTCACATTCCGCCTAGTTGAAGCCATGAGAGTGAATGTGTCTAGATAAAAAAAGGAGAATGCATTTAAGGACAGGACCTTGAGGAGCCCCTATGTTTAGAAGGGCATGGAATAAGAATAAGCTGATGGAAAAAAACAACAACAACACAGAAAGAATGGAAGGTATTAGAGCCAGCATGTAAAAAGCTACAGGGTGGGTGGGGTGATCAACAGTGTCGTATGCTATAGAGAGGAGACAACTATAAAGACCAAGAAAAGGCCAGATTGGATTTGCTGGTTTTAGGCCTCTAATAAATTTGGAAAGAGAAGTTTTAGTTAACCGGTGGGAATAAAGTCTCCTTGCAGAAAATCTTGTAGTAAGCTACAGAAGTGTCAAGATTTTAAGAAATTTGAAGGTAAAGCAGTCATGTTGAGTGTATTTTATAAATTTGTTCATATCTTTTCTTCACCTACCCCCACCAATCCCATCACAGGTTTTCATCATCTTTCTTTTTTTTTGAGACGGAGTCTCACTCTGTCACCCAGGCTGGAATGCAATGGAGTGATCTTGGCTCACTGCAACCTCCGCCTCCTAGGTTCAAGTGATTCTCCTGCCTCAGCCTCCCAAGTAGTGGGATTACAGGCACACACAACCATGCCCAACTAATCTTTTATATTTTTAGTAGAGACAGGTTTCATCATATTGATCAGGCTGGTCTCGAACTCCTGACCTCAGGTGATCCACCCACCTCAGCCTTCCAAAGTGCTGGGATTACAGGCGTGAGCCACTGTGCCTGGCCAGTATTCATCATCTCTTACCTGGTTTATTAAAATAGTCCTGTTTCTAGTGTCACTCTCTGACTCCCACCCCATGTTAATAACGGTGGCTATGTGGATAGAAAAAATAAACCTCCAAAATTCAGCATCTTAAAGAACAATAAATTCATTTCTCATCTCATCCAGAGTAAGTTTCTAGGTCAGCAGATGGCTTTTCTCCATGTAGTGATTCACAGATCCAAACTCCTTCCATCTTAGTCCTTTGTCATTTGCAAGGACATTCATCTCTTTTGCATGATTGAGGCAGGGTCACCATTGCCAAAATTCAGCTGGTGGAAAGGGAAAGCAGGAAAAGGGTCAGCCTGGTCTTAAGGTGCTGGTGTGGAAGTGGTGTGCATCACTTCCATCACTTCCATCTTACATTCCATTGGCTAGAACATGCTCACATGGCCACACCCAACTTAAGAGGACGCTGGGAAATGTCAGCTAGCTATATGCTCAGGAAGGAAAGGAGGCTGCATTTGGATAGACAGCTCTCAGTCTCTGCCATCCTCTCTGGGCCTTGTTCATCCTCCACACTGCTGAAAAACTAGCTACCTGATCATGTCATTTCCCTGTTAAAAAAAGAACAAAATTCAGTGGTTTCTATAACTGAACAACAAACAATTATTGAGCATCTACTGTGTGCTGAACACTGTAGATACAATGGAAACAAAAAGAAAGATTCTGCATTTGTCCACTTGAAGCTTATAGAGGAGCTGGAATTCTGGGAATCATATGTAATTCCTTATTGTCTCTCACCCCTATACCCAAGCCATCATAAAGACCTGTGAATTTTCCTTTCATTCACAGTACTACTCTGGACTGGGCACGGTGGCTCACGCCTGTAATCCCAGCAATTTGGGAAGCAGAGGCGGGTGGATCACCTGAGGTTAGGAGTTCCAGACCAGCCTGGCCAACATGGCAAAACCCCATCTCTACTAAAAATTAAAAATCAGCTGCATGTGGTGGCACGCACCTGTAATCCCAACTACTCAGGAGGCTGAGGTAGCAGAATCACTTGAACCCGGGAGGCAGAGGTTGCTGTGAGCTAAGATCACACCACTGCACTCCAGCCGGGAGAGAGAGCGAGACTTCATCTCAAAAAAAAAAAAAAAAGTACTACTCTGTATCCCTCCTCCCTGTTTCCCCCAAGTGTGGCCACCCTAGATGTTTCTTTAAAATCCTAAATTGCATAGCTTTTACATAACCAGAATTTTAGAAGATGTTATCAAATAACCCATGAATGTGCAGTGTATGGGGGGAAATGGAGCATTTAAACTAGTTTGTTGGTATTATCTATTTTTATATTTATTCTCATTCGGCTCCTGCTTGAAGCTGTGTGGGAAACCTTTTCTGTAAATGCTATCTGATCCATTTTCTTTCATGTAGTGGCTAAGTTCATTATCTGTGCTTGGTGGTCCATGAGATTTCCCTCTTTATCCTCAAAACAAACTCCCTGTAGCTTCAGTTGCTTGAATGGCTTTCTACTCCTAGTCACCAATATATCCCTCAGTAAAACAGTAATTTTATTTTTGAAAAGCATATTTAACATCTAATGTGGGCATCATATAGTATTACATATTTTGGGGTGCCCATAGCATCCTTCGTGGAAAATGCTTTGGCAGTGGCTGGTGCCTGGTTTGGAAAAGAGCAAGATATCTGTATTATTTCCCTATTGCTGGTGTAACAAGATATCACAAACATAGTGGCTTAAAGCAATACCCATTTATTCTCTCACAGTTGTGTAGGTCACAAGTCTGAAACTATGTTAAAAAGTTTGCTTAAGTACATAATAATAATAAACTCCAATTAACATGATTTGTTCTAGTTATGAGATTGATTTGCAAACTCAGTCTGCAGTAAGGAAGACAAGATAGCATTGTAAGTGAAAAGACCCCAAACCCAGCAATATCACTTACTAGTTGTGTGGCCTTGATTAAGTTACTTAACCTCTCTTAGCCATGTATCATATATTGCTGTATAATAATAATGCCTAAATCATAGAATCATTATAAGAATATATGAAAGTACATGTAGCAAAGTATATGTAAAAACTGTTGGCATAAACTAAATGACCAATAAACACTAAATAAGTAAATTTAAACATAAATGAGATGGGCCGGGCGCGGTGGCTCATGCCTGTAATCCCAGCACTTTGGGAGGCCGAGGCGGGTGGATCACCTGAGGTTAGGAGTTTGAGACCAGCCTGGCCAACACAGTGAAACCCCATCTCTATTATAAATACAAAAAAGTAGCCGGGCGTGGTGATGCATGCCTGTAGTCCCAGCTACTCGGGAGGCTGAGGCAGGAGAATCACTTGAACCCGGGAGGCAGAGGTAGCCATGAGCCAAGATCACGCCACTGCACTCCAGCCCAGGCAACAGTGTGAGATTCTGTCTCAAAAAAAAAAAAAAAAATTAATTTTGCCTATTTGTTAAATTCACATAAATGGAAAAATAAAGTATGTATTCTTTAGTATGTGGCTTCTTTTGATCAAAATCATGTCTGTGATATTTTTCCACATTGTTGTGTGTTTCAGTTGTTCATTCTTTTATATTGCTGAGTAGTATTCCATTGTGTGAACATACCACGATTGGTTGATTAGTTTTCCTGTTGATGAACATTTGGGTTGTTTCTGGTTATGAACAAAGATGCTATGAACACTTCTGAACAGAACTTGTAAATTTAATTTTTTATTTATCTTGGGTAAATGCCTAGTAGTGGATTGCTGGATCATATGGTAAGCGTAAGCTGAACTTGATTAGAAACTGAAGAACAGCTTTCAAAGTGTACATACCATTTTATAGTCATAACTACAAAACGTAAGCAAAATGTAAGACCATCAGAGTTCCTGTTACTCTTCCTCCTCGCTACAATTTGGTATCATATTACATGACAGAGGCTGTGCCTAATAATTCTCTCTCTTTTTCTCTCCCATGTCATCCTCACCAGGACTCAATAAAATAGGCATTAGTGTCACCCAAATTTTATAGATGAGAAAATGAAAGTACAGAAATATGAAATAATTTGCCCAAGATCACACAACTTTCAAATTGTGATGCAGGGAATTTTATCTGGTAGCCTTTGCTCTAGTACTGCTTTTGTTACAGGAAAGGGGTACCAATCCAGACCCCACCAGAGGGTTCTTGGATTTCATGCAAGAAAGAATTCATGGCAAGTCCATACAGTAAAGTGAAAGCAAGTTTATTACGAAAGTAAAGGAATAAAAGAATGGTTACTGCAGAGACAGAGCAGCCCCGAGAGCTGCTGATTGCCGATTTTAATAGTTTTTCTTGATGATATGTGAAACAAGGGGTCAGTTATTCATGCCTCCCATGTTTAGACCATATAGGGTAACTTCCTGACATTGCCATGGCATTTGTAAACTGTCATGGCGCTGGTGGGAGTATAGCAGTGAGGACGACCAGAGGTCACTCTCATCACCATCTTGGTTTTGGTGGGTTTGGGCTAGCTTCTTTACTGCAACTGTTTTATCAGCAAGGTCTTTATGACCTGTATTTTGTGCTGACCTCCCATCTCATCCTGTGACTTAGAATGCCTTAACTGTCTGGGAATGGAGCCCAGTAGGTTTTAGCCTCATTTTACCCTGCTGCTAATTAAGATGGAGTTGCTCTGGTTCAAACACCTCTGAGACACTTTCATTCATTACACATTACCTCTTCAGGTAGAGCTTTTACTTACAGAGATAGTTATAATATATATTGTAACTATAGTATATATATATTACATAATCTAGTTACTTGACCCTACTGTACAAATGAAAATAATTGCCCTAAATAGATAATTTTATTAATTTGGCACTTGTGCCCTTTGCTCTTCCTAAATTTCCTGGTTATTTTTCAGAGCTTTGGATGCTTAGGTGTATATTTCCAACCTGGGTCATGGATGATTCCAAAGGAGAAAGGATAATTGAAGAACAGCTCTTGCACAGGGTACGGTAACAGTACTCTTAGGTCTTCTCTCAACTTCAAACATCTGGTTTACTGCTTGCCTTAGTCCATTTTCTATTACTTATAACAAAATACCTGAAAGTGGGTAATCTATAAGAAATGAAATGTATTTCTTACTGGTCTGGAGCCTTGGAAGTCGAAGCAGGAAGGGAAACATCTGGTGAAAGCCTTCTTGCTGGGAGACTCTCTGAAGAGTCCTGAGGCAAAGCAAGGTATTATATGGGGAGGGGGCTGAGTGTGTTAACATGCTAGCCCGGGTCTCTCTTCTTCTTCTTATAAAGCCTATTAATCTATTAACTCATTAATCTGTAACCACCCAATGGGTTCATTTTGCCCACTGCCCAGAAAGAGCTGACTTATCAAGACAGGGGAATTGCAATAGAGAAAAAGTTTAATTGACATAAAACTGGCTGAATGGGGACCAGAGTTTATTATCACTCCAATCAGCCTCCCCCAAAATTCAGAGGCTAGGGTTTTTCAAGAATAGTTTGGTGGGCCAGGGAATGGGTACTGCTGACTGGTTGAGGATGCAATCACTGGGTTGTGGAAAATGGTCCTTGTGTATGTGGAATCTTCTTCTGGGTGAGGCCACAGGACCATTGCTGGGTCTGGGTGGAGCCATTGACCAGAAATGCAAAAACCTGAAAAGATATCTCCAAAGGGCAGTCTTAGGTTCTACAATAGTGATGTTATCTGCAGGAGTAATTGGGGAAGTTGCAAATCTTGTGACCTCCTGAATAATGGCTGTTAATTGTTTACATCTACAACTTAGCAGAATTCAGGCTCCTCTCATCCTCCTAACCTGGTGGTCTTTCATTAGTTTCACAAAGGCAGTTTGGTTTTGGGGAATAGTTATTATCACTGAAACTATAAACTGTCTCCCAAAGTTAGCTTGGCCCAAGCCCAGGAATAATTGAGGGCAGTTTGGAAGCTAAAGAGAAGATGGGGGTTGGTTAGATCAGATCTCTTTTACTATCATAATTTTCTCACTGTTATAATTTTTGCAAAGGCAGTTTCAAATTCATTTATCTATGAATGAATTCATCCATTCATGAGGGTAGAGCCTTCATGATCCAGTCACCTCTTAAAGGGACCACCTCTCAATAATGCCACATTGGGGATTAAGTTTCGACATGAGTTTTGGAGGGGACATTCAAACCATAGCACTGCTAAAAAGAAAATAGCTACTATATAAAGGAAGTATCTGTGAACTATTTACTACAGAAAAGTTAGCTTACTTATTCTGTAACTATTAGCCCTTGTAATCATATTTCATAGAAAAGAGTAAGGGGTATAGAAAGAGAAAAAAAAAGTTTGAATTTTTTTTTCTGGCTTCAGATCACAACTGATATAAATGTGCATGTACTTGTGAGTGTGTGAATGTGTGTATAAGTATGTTTATGTGTATATATATATGGTAGATATATGCTAAATTATATACTATATAATTTACTATATACTATATAGTAATATATATACTAAATTATATACTATATAATTTACTATATACTATATTTTTACTAAACTGTTTTATTTTTTTTGAGATGGAGTTTTTTGCTCTCGTTGCCCAGGCTAGAGTGCAGTGGCGCAATCTTGGCTCACCACAACCTCCGCCTCCCGGGTTCAAGCAATTCTCCTGCCTCAGCCTCCCAAGTGGCTGGGATTACAGGCATGTGCCACCACACCTGGCTAATTTTGTTATTTTTAGTAGAGACGGGGTTTCTCCTGTTGGTCAGGCTGGTCTCAAACTCCCCACCTCAGGTGATCTGCCCACCCCAGCTTCCCAAAGTCCTGGGATTATAGGCATGAGCCACTGCGCCCGGCCTATATTTACTAAACTTAAAAATATATAATATATGCTATATATTATATACTATATATAGCACAGATATATTTATATACTAAATATATAAATATATCTGTGCTATATATAGTATATAATACATAGTACATATATATTTCATATATAAATATATTTATACTATATACATAATATATATATTTTACTATATATATTTATTAGGTCATTAAATTATTAAATGTTATTGAAAAGTGGGGGTTTAATAAATGTACATTGAGGAAAGAATAAATAAGTTTATCCAGGTGACTCTAAGCAAATCCAGAATATCTCTGCATTTCTCTTCTTGGACTTAAGTTACTTAGAAGAAAAATTCTAGAGGACTGAACTAAATAAAAACGGAAAGAAACTAGAATATGTGACCCCAAAACATGCCTCTTTGACACCAATATTTTTGAGCTAAAGGCAATTAAGCAAACAGAGGAAGAGCTCTTTCTATCCTCCCAGCTTTTCTACCTAAAAACAGGATATACATTCTCCTTCACTGGAAATAACTCATATCAGCTTAGAGATAGCACCAAAGGAATCTTCAAACAAACTTAATAATGACCCATTACCTACCATTAATTTCCCCATATATTTACCTCCCCATAGTTTCCTGCCTTTGGAAGCCTAAACCTGATTTCCTTTGTCGTGTCACTTCTCTTGAATTTTTTTTTTTATTAAAACATATATATGCCAGAATTCTAAACCACTGCTTTGAGTCACCTTCTGATTATGTTTCCCCTGCGTGATGTACACTGCAGGTGTTAATAAACTTGCTTGTTTTCTCTTGATAATCTGTCCAATTGCAAACTTATGATGTTGAGGATAAATTATATTTCCTCCTTGACATGATCATCTCTAATCTCTGGATGAAGAACTTGCTTAAGGCTCTAGATGTGACACCTCTGGGGTCAGTGCCAATGACTTAGGGAAGATTTGCCCTATATCCTGAGTCTTACAGGCCTTGGCAGCGAAGACTTAGATGCATAGATGAGTATTTTCTCTAGACCAAGGGCATGATTGCTATATTTTCCAAATCCAAATTTAGGACTTATAACCTGAAAAGGAACTTCAGGTTACAAGTCATATTGTAAATAATTCTAAATAATTGCAATTCTTTTTTTTTTTTTTTTTTTTTGAGACGGAGTCTCATTCTGTCGCCCAGGCTGGAGTGCAGTGGCGCAATCTCGGCTCACTGCAAGCTCTGCCTTCTGGGTTCATGCTATTCTCCTGCCTCAGCCTCCCGAGTAGCTGGGACTACAGGCACCCGCCACCATGCCTGGCTAATTTTTTGTATTTTTAGTAGAGACAGGGTTTCACTGTGTTAGCCAGGATGGTCTCGCTCTCCTGACCTTGTGATCCGCCCACCTTGGCCTCCCAAAGTGTTGGGATTACAGGCTATTTGTTTATTCATTACAAGGCATAAAAAATATGGCCCAGGCGGATCACCTGAGGTCACAAGTTTAAGACCAGCTTGGCCAACATGGTGAAACCTCGTCTCTACTAAAAATACAAAAAAATAAGCCGGGCATGATAGCGAGTGCCTGTAATCCTAGCTACTCGGGAGGCTGAGGTGGGAGAATCGCTTGAACTCGGGAGGCGGAGGTTGCAGTGAGCCAAGATCGCGTCACTGCACTCCAGCCTGGGTGACAGAGCGAGACTCTGTCTCAAAAAAAAAAATGTATATCTATATCTATATGCCCCAGGAAATGTCCTTAGTCTCTTGTGAGTCTACTTGTATTAAAAAAATTATATTATGGAAAATTCCACACACAAAAATAGAGAATGAACCCCCACATTCCTATCCTCCAGCTTTGACAATTATTAGCTTGTGGACAAACGTGTTTTATCTTTACTCCACTGTTAAGGACTAAATGTTTGTGTCTCCCCCAGATTCACATGTGGAAGCTCTAACCCCCAATGTGACAGTATTAGGAGGTGGGGCCTTTGGGAGGTGACTGGGTTTAGCTGAGGTCTTGATGGTGAGGCCTTCATGATGAGATCGATGTCCTTTTAAGAAGAGGAGGAGACTAGAGTTCTCTTTCTCTCTCTCTCTCTCTCTCTCTCTCTGTGTGTGTGTGTGTGTGTGTGTGTGTGTGCGCCATGTGAGGATACAGCAAGGAGCCTGTCCGTAAACTGGAAGAGGGCCCTCACAACACACGAAATCTTCTGGCACCTTGATCTTTCACTTCCCATCCTCCAGAGCTGTGAGAAACTAAATGTTTGTTGTTTGAGTCACCCAGTCTATGGAACTTTGTTATAGCAGCCTGAAATGACTAAAAACCCCTCCCAGTCCCCTTCCGCTCAGGGATATTTGAAGCACATTTCAAACCATCACTTCATATTATTATTTCATCCACAAATATTTCAGTATGTAAGTCTAAAAGATAGGAACTCTTTTTTAAAAAATGATTACCTTTATCATTATCCATGATTTCTTAATATTACCAAATCTCCAGTGTTCATATTTCCCAGGTTTACATATAGACAAAGACTCTCTTTTTGACTAAAACTTCAGTCAGTCTCCTGAGTCTTTTCTGACTAGGCCTAAACTTGGGCTTCCCTCTCTGTCTGTGTAGAAGCCAGTTGGAGCAAGAATCCTACAGTCAGTTCAGTGAAAATTCCTCAACCTTGGTATGTGACCACTCTTGATATATTACCACCCTGGTCTGCCTTCAGCAATAATCCTGTAAAGTCTGTTTAGCCAGAAACTTCTTATCCTTGCTGTTTCTTCTTAGTAATTTTCCATCCACTGACCCCACCCTGATCTTTGGTTATAAATCCCCACTTGTCCTTGCTGCAGTCAGAGTCAAGTGTAATCTCTCTCCTCCAATGCAAGACCTTGCTGCAGTGGACCCTATACCTATCACCATGGTCACCCCTGAATAAAGTCTGCCTTATCATCTTTAATAAGTGTCATGGGCTGGGCACGGTGGCTCACGCCTGTAATCCCAGCACTTTGGGAGGCCAAGGCGGGCAGATCATGACATCAGGAGATCAAGACCATCCTGGCTAACAGGGTGAAACCCTGTCTCTACTAAAAATACAAAAATTTGGTTGGGGGTGATGGCATATGCTTGTATTCCCAGCTACTTGGGAGGCTGAGGCAGGAGAATCGCTTGAACCCTGGAGATGGAGCTTGCAGTGAGCTGAGTTTGCGCCACTGCACTCCAGCCTGGGTGACAAAGCGAGACTCTGTCTTAAAAAAAAAAAGTGTCATGAGTAATTTTTTCTGTATAAATATATATATTTACAGTTTCTTTATTTGAATCAGGATTCTTAGAAAGTCCATACATTATATTAATAATTCACTGATATATCACTTAAGATTCTCTTCATCTGTTGCTTCCTACTCAATCTCTTTTTATTCCTTCAAAATGACTTTTTAACAGAAATCAGGTTGTCTTGTTGAGTTTCCTACATCCAGATTTTACTGACTGCTTTGCCACAGTGTAGTTTAATATGCTCCCCTGCCCTTAATTTCCATAAATTGGTAGTTAGATCTCGGCTTGATTAGATTCAGTTTTGATTTTTATTTTTTGGTGGGGGGGGCAAGACTTTTTAAAAAGTATTTTGTGTACTTTAATAAGAAGGTTCATAATGTCTGCTTGACTCTTTGTGATTTAAAAAGCTATTGATGGTCATTGCCCAGATCCATTTGGTTTACTAAGGGTTGCAAAGTGGTGATGTTTTAATTCTATCATTCCCTCTTCATGTATTAGCTGGAATATTTCTACAAAAAGCAAATTGCCCTTATTAACTTTTTCCACTGAAGATTTCCCCATATCTTTAACTATACTTTTAAAATACTGTTTTTAAAAGTTGTAGGCCAGGCGCAGTGGCTCACACTTGTAATTGCATGCCTTTGGAAGGCCCAGGTGGGAGGATTGCTTGAGTCCAGAAGTTCAAGACCAGGCTGGGCAATAGAGTGAGACCTGTCTCTACAAAAAATAAAAAATAAAATTAGTGGAGTGTGGTGGCATGTACCTGTAAAGTACCAACTACTTGGGAGGCTGAAGTAGGAGGATCACTTGAGCCTGAGAGGTCAAGGCTGCAGTGAGCCATGATCATACCACTGTACTCCAGCCTGGAAAACAGAGTGAGATGGTCTCAAAAAAAAAAGTTGTAGTGTTTTCTTTCTTAAGTATGTACCATATTTTATATACCCATACCCTAACTGCTAGAGATATATAATGTTTCTGATTTTTCACTCTGTAAACATTGATGGGATCAACATTCTTATATATTTCTTATATATAAATCTTTATTTAGATGTCTGGTTATTCAATTAGAATAGAATCCTAGCAGTGGAAGTCCAAAGGATAAACAGCTTGGTAACTTCTTACTAAATATTAAAATGTTTCTTCCTGAAAAGTGCCAGTTGACTCCCTCTACCAATGAGAGTTCCTGTTTCCCTAAATCCTTACCATTCTCACATGTTTAATGTGTTTGTGTTCCATGTTTTATGTGAACTGTAAATGGTAACAAGTGAATTAGGAATGTATCTACTATACAGTGAGAAAATTTAAGGTTTGATATTTTATTTTATAGAGTACAGAGAAATAACACAAAGCAATTGCTCACATATGAGAAAATAAAAATTAATCTGTAGAATTTCAAAACCATAAAGAACTATTGAGCTACTTGGTAGGTCTCATGTTTATTCATCTATTGTTCTCAGGAACTAATGGTTATTATAGTGTGTGTGTATGTGTGTGTGACTTATTTTTCTAAAAATTTTGAAGTAATGTTTTTAAAATGTAAATTTCAGACTATAACTGTAATATGCTAATAGAAAAATACTGCTCTGAGGAAAAGCATTTTAGAAATAATGCTCCAGGCTCGCAATTGTCATTTTGTAATTTAAAAGTTTTCTTTAGTTGAGTATAATAAGGAAGGTTATTGTATTAGTTCATTTTCACACTGCTATAAAGATACTACTTGACACTCGGTAATTTATAAACAAAGGAGGTTCCACTGACTCACAGTTCCACGTGGCTGGGGAGGACTCAGGAAACTTACAATCATCGTGGAAGGGGAAGCAGGCACCTTCTTCACAAGGTGGCAGGAGGGAATGTGAGTGTGCGAAGGAGGAACTGTCAAACACTTATTAAATCATCAGATCTCATGAGAACTTAGTCACTATCATGAAAACAGCAAGGGGGAAAACACCCCCCCATGATCCAATCACTTCCCTCCCTCGACACATGGGGATTATAATTCAAGATGAGATTTGGGTGGGGACACAGAGCTAAACCATATCAGTTATCCTATTTCTTTGCTGGAAAATTTAGGAGTTTTGAGATCTGGATCAGAATCTTACTCTACAGATTAATAAATATGTATGTCTCTGTGCCTTACTTTCCTCAGGACTGAAATTCAGCTGGGAGGCCCTAGGACAGCTATTTCGGTAGCTTAAAGCTGGCCTCAGTGCTGATTGTTGCTGGGCCACACTAGCTGTTAAACCTTTTGAGTATCATCCTTCTGATATGAATATCAACCTGTAGTTTGCAGCTTCTTACTTTTGTTGTGGGTTCAAGGATGCCTATCTAAATCCTAATAAAGTCTGTGTAGGATCTGGAAGGTAGCAATTTAACCTCTGATGATTACATGACTTTTACAAAAAGAGTTGTAAAAGGATGTGCTTCCTTACTTAAGTGGTCTATTTGCTTTTTAGCTTTTCAGAAGAGATAACTGGGAAGTTTATTACTTTAGATGAGTCTTCTACAGAGTTTTGTAATGGGACTTATGGGCTTACTATTGTCTCAAGTTCTGGGAAATGACAAAATATGCATTTAAATATCAATTCTTGAGCTGGGTGCAGTGGCTCATGCCTGTAATCCCAGCACTTTGGAAAGCCGAGGCGGGTGGATCACCTAAGGTCAGGAGTTCAAGACCAGCCTGGCCAACATGATGAAACCCCATCTCTACTAAAAATACAAAATTACTTCGGTGTGGTGGCACATGCCTGTAGTCTCAGCTATTCAGGAGGCTGAGACATGAGAATTGCTTGAACCTAGGAGTCAGAGGCTGCACTTAGCCGAGATTGCACCACTGCACTCCAGCCTGTGCGAGACAGAGTGAGACTCCATCTCAAAAATAAATAAATAAATAAAATAAAAATAAAAATAAATTCTCGTTGTAAAAAACTGGTGAAATCCAAATAAGATCTGTCCCTGAGTTAATAGTATTGTACCAACTGCAATTTTCTGGTTTTGACAATATACTATTGATAGAGGCAAGAGGCAGACAAATGCCTAGGCAGATAAAAAAGGGTCTCTGGAAGATCTCCGACCTGCTGCACAAATGTTTACACCAGATATTTTTGTGCAGATAAGGGAACCTGCACAGGGTCTTGTCAGGGCATGCCCGCAATGGACTGGAGGATTGGGGTGGAGCCACCAGGAGTTCACACCTTACGCAGGGGAGCAGCCTGTCCTCTTCAGCTCATGTGTGGCAGCCTGGTATTCAATCTATGAGGTTGGAGCCTGCTGGCGTGACCTTCTCTTTTTGCTGACAGCTTTCTTTTCACTTAAAAAATTCCGCCCTCCTCACCCTTCAATGTGTCTGCATGCCTAATTTTTCCTGGTCATGAGACAAGAAACCTGATTTAGCTGAACTAAGGAGCAAAAAATCCTGCATCACTATGGTTTTGTAACATATTAGGAAAAGCTGGATGAAGAGTACAAGGGAACTTGCTGTACTATTTTTGCAAATTCTTGTGACTCAAACTGTTTAATAATATAATATTTAAAAAACAACAACCAATGCTTGACATGAAGGTGTTAAATATTATTTTCTTTTACATTTCGTTAACCAGACATTTATTTATTTATTTATTTATTTTTTGAGACAGAGTCTCACTCTGTTGCCCAGGCTGGAGTGCAGTGGTGTAATCTCAGCTCACTGCAACCTCTATCTCCTGGGTTCAAGCAATCCTCATGCCTCAGCCTCCCGAGTAGCTGGGATTACAGGCAGGCACCACCACACCTGGCTAATTTTTGTATTTTTAGTAGAGACAGTGTTTCACCATGTTGGCCAGGCTGGTCTCAAAATCCTGACCTCAAGTGATCCACCCACCTTGGCCTCCCAAAGTTCTGGGATTACAGGCATGAGCCACCGTGCCCAGCCTGTTAACCAGACTTTTAATCATCTCTTTATGGTATTTACATGTTCCTCTTTCTTTCCTTCTGATCCTTCCAGGTCACTAATAACTTTCTGACCTGTTATTTTTCACACTTTTCTCTATGTTTATATAATAGCCTACAAATAAATAAATACATATATGGATATTTACATTTTCATTTATTTCATAATAATGTGACTAAATTGTATATACTTTCCTGCAGATTGTTTTTCTTACTTGAAAATACATTGTGAAAAATCTCTTCAATTTACTTGGTATAAATGGAATTCTGTCCTTTTAATGGCTTCATTGTAGTCAATGAATCACACAGCTTATTCAACCATTCCCCTACTAATTGGTGTTTATTTCCTTCACAATGTTTTGCTACTCAAATATTTTTATACTAAATATTTTAGAAATGTATATTTTGGACTGATGCTTTTATATCTGTTGGATAAATTCTCAGGGATTTATCTGTGGGATTACTAGATTGAAATAATATGATTTAAACATTTTTAAAGGTATTTTCAGACTTCTTTCCTAAATGGCTTCACTATTTCACATTTTCAGCAGTGAAATAGAGCATACTTTTTCCTGCATCCCTACCACTAGTAGGTGTTATATCTAATCCATGCTTTGTGTGTTCACAGAAGTTATATTTCACTAACATATTAATTTATATTTCCCTAACAAACAGTGAGATCCAGCAGCCTTGCAATGTTTATTATCCTTCGGATTTTTTGTAAATTGTTATTCATAACTTTTGCCCTTTTTCTACTAGATTGTTTTTGCCATTTTCTTGATAATTTGCAAGAGCTCCTAATATATTACACATATTATGTATCTTTCATATGTATTGCTAGTATTTCCTCTATTTTTTGCCTTTTGTCTATGTTTATGATATCTTTTGCTATACCACCTTTAATTTTTTTAATGTTGTGAAATATGTCTATATTTTTCTTTACCGTCTTCTTAGTTTCCTTTTTTTAGAGTCTTTCCAACTCCCAAATTACACATGCATTATGTAATTTTTCTGATGCTTTTGTTATTTTATTTAGTTGTTTTATATTCATATAGAGCTAATGTACTGATTATTAAGCTATCATCATTCAGCTTCAAATCCACCCTTCTGTATTCTGCTTTGTGATGTGGGTCTGGGACTCTGCAAACCACATTTCTGCTTTGCCAGCTGGTTCCCTGCTAAGCCCTGCCAGTGGGAGGCAGGAGAGGGAGACTGGGTGGATAAAGGAAGAATACAGGGCTTGATCTTTTTTATCTTTTCTTTGTTCCTGTCAGCATCACTTAAGCAAAGAATCTTCACACAGTAGTAACTTGGTTCTAGGGTGGCAGTGGGTTTCAGTTTGTGGTTTTTCCAATTCTTGCAGAAACATCCTCATTGCACTCCCTTAGAAATGCCAGCCAATGGGCACCCCACCTGTCCATGCTTTCAGCGATCTGACTTCCAGTTCAATGAGCCCCATCTCCAACCTCCTAAGTTTTTTTTTTTTTTTTTTTTTTCTGAGACGGAATTTTGCTCTTTCGCCCAGGCTGGAGTGCAGTGGCGCAATCTTGGCTCACTGCAAGCTCCACCTCCTGGGTTCACACCTTTCTTCTGCCTCAGCCTCCCGAGTAGCTGGGACTACAGGTACCTGCCACCACACCCGGCTAATTTTTTGTATTTTTAGTAGAGATAGGGTACCAACCTTCTAAATTTTAATAATCCCCACTCCTTCCCTTTGTTCTCCCAGTCCTATGGGTAGTAGCTGCTTTCTGCATTTTCCCTGTGATATCTCAGTGTCCTCTTTCTGCCTTTTTATTCCCTGAGTTCCTAGTTAACAATTCTTTATATTAAATCCTCTCTGTTAAAATAGCTGGTATGGTTTCTGCTTCCTGCCTGGGCCTTGAGTGTTACTGTTGAATTTGTCAGTCTTTTCCTTTAGGATTTTTGCATGTTGAGACATGCTTTTGATGTTGGGAATTTCACAGATGCCAGTTTTTTTTCTCTTTAAATGGCTAATTAATTGTCCCAACAGCATTTATTGTCTACTTCATCTTTCCC
Source organism: Homo sapiens (assembly GCF_000001405.40). Classification (NCBI taxonomy): domain Eukaryota; kingdom Metazoa; phylum Chordata; class Mammalia; order Primates; family Hominidae; genus Homo; species Homo sapiens. The sequence goes on along the minus strand of NC_000009.12, from coordinate 100,373,090 downwards.
TACTGATTTTAAAATATGTTTTGATATATAGAACTTCAAAATTTTTGTATAGTCAAACTTATCAATTCATCCTTTATGATTTTTTTTTTGTTTTGGTGTTACTGATAAAAAGGATAAGTTCAGTCCCATTTCTCTGGGTCATGTCCTTTCTTACCTTCCACCATGAAATGACCTTTGCTACATGTTGGCACCATGCTCTTGGACTTCCCAGCCTCAAGAACTGTGAGCCAAGTAAACTTCTGTTCATTACAAATTACCCAGTGTATGACAGTCTGTTATAGCAGCAGACAGTGAACTAAGACACACTGGAGTTCAGACAATAATCATGCCTGTTTTCTTTCTGTGTTCTTGTACTACATTATACTGCCTCACTTAGCATAGTAGTTTTCAACATTTTAAAAATTGAGATTCACTGTAAGAATATATTTTGCGGCCAGGCGCGGTGGCTCATGCCTGTAATCCCAGCACTTTGGGAGGCCAAGGCGGGCAGATCACCTGAGGTCAGGAGTTCGAGACCAGCCTGGTCAACATAGTGAAACCCTGTCTCTACTAAAAATACAAAAATTAACTGGGTGTGGTGGCACGTGCCTGTAATCCCAGATACTTGGGAGGCTGAGGCAGGAGAATTGCTTGAACCCGGGAGGCCAAGGTTGCAGTGAGCCGAGATCGCGCCATTGCACTCCAGCCTGGGCAATAGAGCAAGACTCTGTCACACACAAAAAAGGAATATGTTCTGCTCTGTCAATGAGTATACGTACACGTTTCTATAAAATTGAAACAAAAATTTCACAAAATAATATTTGTGGCAGAGATTTTTACTACTTACAACTTCCAAGAAACCTCCTTAAATGGAGGTTTCAATTTTCCTTTTCCTTTCCTTTCTTTTACTTGCTGACTGAAATGTGGGCATGATGGCTTGAGCTAGAATTGCCATTTTGAAGCATGAGATGACCTTGAGAATGGAACAAGAAAGAAGCAGTCTGAGTGAGGACTTCCTGGAATGGAGCCACTTGATGCTTAGTCTGCCTACATTTGAAGTTTAACATGAAAAATAAATTCGTTGTTTTGTGTTTTACTGTTACTCCCAGCCAAGTTAATGCTTACAAATACATTTTCTGTAGCGTTTATGCCAATTTACACTTCTGCCAATAATGTATGAGCACTATTTCTCCACAGCTTCATACGGGTATGTTGTCAAACTTTTGGATTTTGATAATCTTGAAAGTAAGAAAAAATATCTTTTAATTTGCACTTCTCTTATTATGAGTCAGGTTAAACAGCTTTTAGTATGTGGAAGGGTCATTCATTATATTTCTTTTTCTGTTGTTTGAAGTAACTTTAGATGGATTAAATTTAACAGAGTTTAATCGGGCAAATAATAATTTGTGAATTGGGGAGCCCCTTGAACCAGAATAGGTTAAGAGAGACTCCAATGCTGCCACATGGCCTGAAAGGATTTATGGACAGAAAAAGGAAAGCAACGTACAGAAATAGAAATGAGGTACAAAAACAGCCGGATTGGTTACAGCTTGGCATTTGACTTATTTGAATACTAAACAGTTGGCTATTCATGAGTGGATAAAATATGGCTTCTGTGATTGGCTGAGACTTGGCTGCTTGTTACAAAAGTCGGTTTCAGTCTGTTTACATGTCCAGTTAGGTTACGGTTCAATATGTACAGAAAAACCTTTAGGCTGAACTTAAAAGGAAGCAGCTTCCGACTAAATTTAATTTAACAATTGCCACCTCTTGGTCAACCTCTTCACCTCTTAGTCAACTTCTCAATTTTGAGAGGTTGACCAAATTTTTAGGCATTGATGTCACTCTGTCCCCATTGTGATGTTCTTATTTGGTCTCAAATCCCTCTGAGAGACAGTAGAACAGTGGGCTTTGTAAGATGAGAACATGGACTTCAGCTTCAGGTTACTTTTTTTTTTTTTGAGACAGAGTCTCACTCTGTCACCCAGGCTGGAGTGCAGTAGCACGATCTTGGCTCAATGCAACCTCCACCTCCTGGATTCAAGCAATTCTCCTGCCTCAGCCTCCTGAGTAGCTGGGATTACAGGCACCCACCACTATGCCCAGCTAATTTTCAGAGTCTTAGTAGAGACAGGGTTTTGCCATATTGGCCAGACTGGTCTTGAACTCCTGACCTCAGGTGATCCACCTGCCTTAGTCTCCCAAAGTGCTGGGATTATAGGAGTGAGACACTGCACATGGCCACTTTTTTTTTTAATAAGGGTTATAGCAGAGGGGACCTCCTTGTGCTGGAATCTCTTGTTTTCAGGAGAAAACAAAACCTACTCTATGTTAGGATCTATTTGTTTCCTTAAAGTTTTAGTTTAATTCTGTTGTATTTAGTATGAGTGACTTCATTTTGGCTTGGCCTGATCTGTTGGCGCCTAGTGTATGAGCTCAGTCCTCAACAATGGCCTCCCATAATTTTGTTAAAATATTTCCCCCTTGTGGTCAGGTTCTCACTTAGGTAAGACCAAAATTTAGGGCCACTCTCAGTTACCATCATTTTGGGTTTCTGGCTTCAGCATGTCATTCACACGTTATGGCAACTTCACGATCATACTTTTTTTTGAGTTTTTGTCATCCTAGTCAGAGAGGGGCTGATATGGTTTGGCTGTGTCCCCGCTCAACTCTCACCTTGAATTGTATTAATCCCCATGTGTCAAGGGTGGGGCCAGGTGGAGATAACTGAATCATGGGGGCAGTTTCTCCCATATTGTTCTTGTGGTAGTGAATAAGTCTCATGAGAGCTGATGGTTTTATAAATGGGAGATCCCCTGTACAAGCTCTCTTGCCTGCTTGTAAGATGAGAATTTGCTCCTCATTAGCCTTCTGCCATGCTTTTGAGGTCTCCCCAGCCATATGAAACTGCGAGTCAATTAAAACTCTTTCCTTTATAAATTACCCAATCTCATGTATTTTTTCATAGCAGTGTGAGAACGAACTAATACAGGGTCCATTTGACATTCTACGCATGGCTGTAAGAGAATTTAAAGAAGTCTGTTGTGCAACCATGGACTTTGTAGTAGAATTTGCTATAAGGTCTATTATGAGGAATAAATGTTTAATTACTGAATCATTTACTCCAAATCATGTAAAAAGAGACCTAGCAAATGATGTCCATCCAAAAGAGTGAAGGCCTCCTGCCAATGTTCTCTTTAACCTATGATACAAGCTAAGAGGAGTGGACCAATATTTTGTTTTTTGATTCATTATGAAGCAACAAATGTATATTAAAATTTTTCACACATGTTGGTCCTTTATCTTTTATCAATGCATAATGTTGTCCATGTATAAGTTTATAAGGTTGCTTAAAAAATCCTCTACAAATAAAAGTACACTCCAGAAATGCACATAAGAGACTCATTTTCTGGTTTTATTGTGGGTTTTTCTTTTGAGACAGGGTTTTGCTCTGTTGCCCAGGCTGGAGTGCAGTGGTGTGATTATAGCACACTGTAGCCTCAAACTCCTGAGCTCAAGTGATCATCTTGCTTCAGCCTGCTAAGTAGCTGGGACTATTGGTGCATGCCACCAAGTCTAGCAAATCATTTTCATATATTTGGAGTAGGGGGTCAACCCATAATTTGACCACAAACAGTGTCTCACTGTGTTGCCCAGTCTGGTCTTGAACTCCTGGCCTCAAGCAATCTTCCTGCCTTGGCCTCCTAAGGCACTGGGATTACTGACATGAGCCACTGACCCCAGCCTAGTTTTATTGTTCATAGAGGTGTGAGCAAGGAAAAAACTGACAGGTAAGAGCTTCATGATAGTAGAGAAGCCCTGATCATTAATCTGTCATCTTGCAAAAGTTGTCCACATCTAGGATGTTGTCTGTTTCTGAGGAGAAACTTTGCTGGTTAGTGTAGGAGTTCAGTCAGGGTGGTGGGAGAAATTGTAAAATAGACACAAACCTTCTTGGAAGGCTGGAAGGTTTTGCAAAAGCCTCAGGATAGCGTTATGGCTGAAAGCAGCCTAATCCTCTTACCTTGAGTTAATAGCTGAGAGGAGGTACAAAGGAATGTAAAGGAGTTTATCTAAAGAGCTTGTTTACTCATGTGGTGCTGACCTTTGATCATTTGTAGGACTGCTCTCTCCTGGGAGAGTGACCATCTTAATTATCCACAAGTGTGTTAACTCAAAGCCTTTGTCATTAAATCTGTACTAAATAAATGTGAACTTCGCCGGCTTATCAAGGTTGACACTGTGGACTCAGGCAGCAGATCCCCTTAGCCGTGCTGACGGGCAAAATATCTGTGTCAGTGTACATCTTTCATCTGTCACGGGGTAAGGGTCTGTGGGTCAGACCCGGCAGGTGGTGCCCCATGTGAGGAACGCTGCCACGAATTGTGAGAGAACCCTCAAAAACGAAGGTGAAGAAGACTGCACAGTTAGTAAATCAGTAAGTCATTGGTACCTGCTTGGGATTTCCAAGTTTGAGGGAATTGTTCAGGCTAGGTTTCATCATGGGACAACAGTTATCAGCTCAACAGCAACAGTAGATAAAAGTATTGAAACAGCTGCTTAAAATTAGTGGAGCCTCGGTTTCACAGGCTCAATTAAGGGACCTAATGCAAACTGTTGTATCCCATAACTCATGGTTCCCAGAAGAAGGTACACTAGACGTAGAGTTCTGGGAACAAGTGGAGAGAAATCTTAAACAACATCATGCGCAAGGGCAACAGGTCCCAGTAACATCTCTAATGTTATGGGCCTTAATTAAGGCAGCTCTGGCCTCGTTATACACAGAAAAGCCTAAAAAGGGAAGGAAGGAGAAACAGTCACCTACTTTACCACCTCCTTATCCCTTAGCCCTGCTATCACTGAGCCAAAATAACAAAGAGGATACGGAGGTTTTGCCTGAGCCCCCTCTTCCAATAAATTGGAAAAAAGACAGGGGATACGCTATAGCTATGGGACCCTGTCTTAGGCAAGCGGCATTAGAAGGGGAGCTCTTAGCCTGCCAGGTAATACAAGATTAACAAGGCAATCAGGTACATAAAGAGATAAGGAAAAGCATTAGAGATAACGGAGCCGCTAGCCCATTTAATGAAAGGATTAATTGAGGCCAGAGCAGACAACTTCTATATGACTCCATGGGACTGGTCAGTGCTAGCTAAAACAACTTTAAACGCCAGTCAGTACCTCCTCTGGAGGGCAGAATTTGATGAATTATGTGAACTGCAAACCTCTTTCTAATAATGGCCACTGTTATTCCTCCACTACCCTTGACGTGGCTCCCTTGAAATCCTATTTGGGTAGAACAGTGACCTTAGAAGGGAGAGAAATTACATAGAGCCCATGAATTAGCTGAGGAGCAATTAAAAGCCGGTTATATAGAACCATCTAACAGCCCTTGGAATTCACCCATTTTCGTCATTCCCCAAAACTCTGGTAAATGGAGACTTTTGCATGACTTACGTGCTATTAATGCTAATTTGCAGTCTACGGGGCCTCTTCAACAGGACCTCCCCTCCCCCGCAGCGATTCCTCAAGATGGGCCTATAATCGTTATTGACTTAAAGACTGTTTTTATAGGATTCCCCTTGCAGAACAGGACAGAGAAAAATTTGCATTTACAATACCAGCTATCAATAATGAAAGGCCAGTTTGTTGATTTCACTGGAGAGTGCTTCCTCAAGGAATGCTGAACAGTCCTACCGTGTGTCAGTATCATGTAAATCAGGCTTTGCTCCCCAGTAGAAAATTATTTCCTAATTGCAAGATTATCCATGTTATGGATGATATTTACTAGCAGCCCCAACAGAGCGAGTACTTTTTTTTTTTTTTTTGAGACAGAGTCTTGCTCTGTCGCCCAGGCTAGAGTGCAGTGGCACAATCTCGGCTCACTGCAAGCTCCACCTCCTGGGTTCACACCATTATCCTGCCTCAGCCTCCTGAGTAGCTGGGACTACAGGCGCCCGCTACCACGCCCACCTAATTTTTTGTATTTTTAGTAGAGACAGGGTTTCACCGTTTTAGCCAGGATGGTCTCGATCTCCTAACCTCGTGATCCGCCCGCCTCGGCCTCCCAAAGTGCTGGGATTACAGGCGTGAGCCACCATGACCAGCCTGGAGTGAGTACTTTTAAAATTACATGCCTCTGTGGTAAAGAATACACAGTTAAGAGGTTTAATCATAGCACCTGAGAAGATACCAATGTCCTCTCCTTGGAAATATCTTGGATACATACTAACTTCCTCAATCAGTAAGTCCTCAAAAGGTTAAATTAAATACTAGCAACTTACACACCTTAAATGATTATCAAAAATTACTGGGCGATATTAACTGGCTTCGCCCCACCTTGGGCGTATCTATTGATAAGTTGCAAAACCTGTTTTGTATCTTAAAGGGCAATACAGCCCTGGACTCTCCCAGATATTTAACTCCTGCAGCACAAAGGGAAATTGAAGAAATAGAACAAGCTATTTCCCAAAGGCAACTAGTTCGCATAGACACCCAATATTCCATCCAATTGTTTATTTTCCCTAATAAACACTCCCCTACAGGGTTAATAGGACAGATGGCCCCAGGGCTACGCTTTCTAGAATGGGTTTTTTGCTCACATACCAGGATTAAAACACACTCGACCTATATCCAGTTAGTCAGTAAAGTCATCTATTCAGGCCGCAGACTATGCAATCAGTTGCTAAGTTATGACCCTGATGTCATAAGAATTCCTTTGAGTAAAAAGCCATTTGAAGCAGTATTGCCCCTCTCTTTAGATCTTCAGACAGCACTCTCTGATTACACAGGCCATTTAGAACATATGCTTACTGCTGACAAGCTCCTTCAGTTCTTATCTCGTACTTCTATGGTTTTGCCTACAAAAATTTCAATCCCCCATACCTAACACTTTAACACTGTTTACCGACGGCTCTGGTAAACATGGAAAGGTGGCTGTTTGGTGGAGAACACATAATTTCCTCACTTGTTCTGGATTTACTAGCACTCAGAGAGCTGAGGTTGGAGCCTTAATATTGGCCTTGGAAACTTTTTCTGCGCAGCTCATCAATATTGTTAGTGACTCTACTTACTCTATTTATTGCAGAACCTGAGACAGCCCTAACTAGGTCTACTCTAGAGCCCATCCTGTGTGCACTTTTTCTCCAGCTTCAGCAATTGCGAGATCAACGTACAAATCCTATTTTTATTACACACATTCAGGCCCACAGTTCACTGCCTGGCCCATTGGCTTATGGCAATGATCAAGCAGACCTAAAAGTTATGACATCACTGCTTGACCAAGCCACCCAATCACATCAACTTTTCCACCAAAATTGGAGAAACTGAACTAAACAATTTCAACTTACCCAAAGACTAGCTAAACAAATTATCCTGCAATGCCCAGATTGCCAGCTCACAGGCACGTCCCCTTCTTCTACAGGTGTTAACCCTAGAGGACTAGAACCTAATCAGTTATGGCAAACATGTTACACACGTCCCTGAATTTGGAAAACTAAGATATGTACATGTATCCGTTGATACCAACATTCATCTAATTAGTGCACACGCTCTTCCTGGAGAGTCCACTGGATATGTCATTAAACATCGTCTTTTAACTTTTGCATTTATGGGGCGGCCCACAAAAATTAAAACTGATAATGGTCCAGCTTATGCCAGCTCATAATTTCAACAATTTTATCACACACAGAACATCCAGCATTCCACAGGCATCCCGTATAACCCCCAAGGACAGGTCATAGAACAGGCCCACTCTACCCTTAAAAATATGCTCAGAAAACCAAAAGGGGGAGTATGGGTAAGGACCCTGGAACACAACTAGCACAAGCCTTATTTACCCTTAATTTTTTAAATTTAGATGACAAATTTCAATCAGCTATAGAAAAGCACTTTGCTAAAACCTCTCAAGACAAAACCCACAGTTTTATGGAAGGATGTAAATAGTAATGAATAGTGTGGTCCAAATGATTTGCTAACATGGGGAAGAGGATATGCTTGTGTTACACCCCCTCAGGTCCTCTTTGGATTTTAGCACGATGCATCAAACCATACCATGGCGTGGCTAGGACCCAACCCAGTACCAGAAATAAAGAAAATGACCCTACAGGACCCACAGCCCTGGACAATGCGGCTTCCTTGGACAACACAGGCCCCAGACAGGATGCCGAAGAAAACAACTCAGAAGGTGAAGCGCATCCTGCTCCAAACACAAACACCATTCACAACCAAATAATTTATTCCTTTTTTAATTTTCTCACTCTGCCTGCAACCAGTACCTGCTACACTCTATTGGGCTCATCTCTTAAATCTGCCTTTCTTCTGCCCTGTTACTTTGACAAACACCCTCTTCCCAGCTTCCAACAACGTGACTGCTTAACTAAGAGGGATTAACATACCCCCAGTGGGGTTCCTTAGTAACGGCACACATCGAACTGAAGTGCCAGGTAACACTACAGGTCACTCCTTGATTAGAAAAGAATATTGCTAATTATACTCATGTTTGTTTTATGTTATTTACTAATTCTAAGATGCAAAGCCAGAATATGAGCAGTGACCACCGCACCTGACAGACCTGTTGCTGCACACATCTGTACTCTCTAATCAACGAAACCTGATGCTAAAAACAGAAAAGGTGGAGATGTAGTTCAGTCAGGGTGGTGGGAGAAATTGTAAAATAGACACAAACCTTCTTGGAAGGCCGGAAGGTTTTGCAAAAGCCTCAAGATAGGTTATGGCTGAGAGTGGCCTAATCCTCTTACCTTGAGTTAATAGCTTAGAGTAGGTATAAAGGAATGTAAAGGAGTTTACCTAAAGAGCTTGTTTACTCATGTGGTCCTAAGACCGACCTTTGATCATTCATAGGTCTGGTCTTTCCTGGGAGGACAACCACGTTAATTATCCACAAGTGTGTTAACTCAAAGCCTTTGTCATTAAATCTGTACTAAATAAACGTGAACTTCGAGAATTATCAAGGCCGACGCTGTGGACTCAGGCAGCAGAGCCCCTTAGCTGTGCTGACGGGCAAAATATCTGTGTCAGTGTATGTCTTTTATCTTTCACTGGGTCAGGGTCTGTGGGTTGGACCTGGAAGGTTAGCTTTGCCTTAAGGTGTCTAATGGGTGTATAGTTCCCAGAGTGGGAAGGGGCCTTTCTGAGTTGTGAGATTACAAACCCAAGTTTCAAGGTTCCAAAGTTTTGCTGCAGTGTGAGTGGCAAGGGCAGTCTTTCTCTGATCATTTCCAAAAGACCCAATCTCTGGGTTTTAGATCCATGAAGGGTTAGATTGCCCTCAGTCCGTGGACCACAAAAAGCTTTCTTTATCTAGTGAAAATACACTTGGGCATTGTGTTAGGTTGTTCTTGTGTTGCTATAAAGAAAAGGAATACCTGAAACTGGGTAATTTATAAAGAAAAGAGATTTAATTGACTCATGGTTCCTGCAGGGTGAGCAGGAAGTGTGGTGCCAGCATCAGCTTCTGGTGAGGGCCTCAGGAATCTTCCAGTCATGGTGACAGGCAAAGGCAGAGCAGACACATCACATGGCAAGAGTGGGGGCAAGCAGGGGTGTTGTCACACACTTTTAAACAATCAGATATTGCATGAACTCACTTATCACCAAAGGGCTGGTGCAGAACCATTCATGAGAGATCCACCCCTATGATTCAAACACCTTCTACCAGGCCCATCTCTAACTGGGAATTACATTTTAGCATGAGATTTGGAGGAGAAACATATCCAAACCATATTAGGCATAATGCATTTGCATTAATCCATTTGCATTACTATAACAGAATACCTGAGACTAGGTAATTTTTAAAGAAAGGTAGTTTAATTGGCTCTTGGTTCTACAGGCTGTACAAACATGATGCCAACATCTACTTGGCTTCTGGTGAGGACCTCGGGAAACTTACAGTTGTGGAAGGCAAAGTGGGAAGCCAGGATATTACGCGGCAACAGAGGGAGTAAGGGAGAACAAGGTGAGAGGGAGGTCCCAGACTTTCAAACAATCAGATTGCATGTGAACTAACTGAGCAAGAACTCACTTATCACCAAGGAGATTGTGCTAAACCATTCATGAGGGATCCGCCCCCATGATCCAATCACCTTTCACCAGGCCCCACCTCTAACATTGGGAATCATATTTCGATATGAGATTTGGAGGGTACAAATATCCAAACACATGCGCATTAAAACCTTGTAGCATTTAGTTATATCAGAATTTAGAAACAGAAGATATTTGAAGTTTTATTATTAGAAGCATAGGCCTTTTAGTGACTATTGTGTAAGAGGTCAACTTATGTTTTCACTGGAAGTAGATCTGATTGTCATTAAACTCTAATATCTTTGACCAAGGCAATCTAGTCAACTCAGTTAGCTTTGTCTAATGTTACTGTATCTGTAACACCTTATTTAACTATCTTACAACTTGTCCAGTGAAACAAGTATGTTTTTTGCTGGAGATTTCTTCAGGAACAACCCAGGAGGGAAACAAATTTTTAAAATAACCTTTTATCTATTGTTATAACATCAGCGCCCTTGCACGGGAAATCTTTTATAAAAACAACTAGAAAAGATGCCTTGAAAATGAAAAGTGAGTAAAATTCTTCTATAACTGTTTACATGGCCCATCAGGTAGAAAACATGTACCTGAAATTCTGATTGTCTTTCCAGGATTATGAATTTAAGAAACCAAACATTGGTCATAAACAATTTTAGCAATTTAGAATAGTCACCATGCCAATGTGTATTCTTTTCTTTCTTTCTTTTTTTTTTTTTTTTTGAGACAGAGTCCCACTATGTTGCCCAGGCTGGAGTGCAGTGGCACGATCTTCGCTTACTGCAACCTCACCTCCCAGGTTCAAGCAATTCTCCTGCCTCAGCCTCCTGAGTAGCTGGGATTGCAGGTGTGTGCCACCACACCCAGCTAATTTTTGTATTTTAGGTAGAGACGAGGTTTCACCATGTTGGTCAGGCTGGTCTTGAACTCCTGACCTCGTGATCCGCCTGCATCAGCCTCCCAAAGTGTTGGGATTACAGGCTTGAGCCACCGGGCCCGGCTGTCAATATATATTCTATTTGCATATTTGCATCATCTTATTTCTTCCTTAAGAGTCATGGAATGCACAGCTTTTAATAATGAAAGCTTTAAATACTCAGGAATAACTAGGCAGCCATCTAGGTTCTGAGTCTATGCTTAACATTGGATTTACATCTTCTTAAACTCTATTTTTGCTTTTCTAGTTCAGGTGCCTACCATTGTTTATTAGATGGGTTATCATATGTAATGTGATGTGGATCATGGAGTTCATTCAAATTGCATATCTAAACAATTTCAGTACCAGCTTCTTTAGCATGAAAATCTGGCAAAGTATTTTTTTGGTATTCAACTAATTTTTGTCCTGGTTGGGTTATCAGTTTTATAAACCAGTCTGTCTCTTTCTTAAGAGTTTTAGGAAATTCTTACCCAGTCCAAATGATATGGTTCTAAAGTCATCAGAAACCTGTATTTAAGCAAGTTTTGTCAGGGTCCTTTTTATCTTTTCCATGAACTTCTTTGAAGACACAATACACTAGAATTTTACTTGCTTTTGAAAAATTTTTAGAAACTGTTTCAGAATTAAGTAATCAACTGTGGAAATGACTTCAAATGGTTGTAAAGACACAACTGACAAGGAAATTTGGTTATTTCTGTGGCCTACAATAATTTAACATAATAACTATAATTATGACTGATAATATATCAAGACATATCAGAATGTTAGGAATCTCATATAATTTTGGAACATATATTAATAACATATCTATTAAAATATAACTTGAAGAACGTTAAACTTTATTCTTTATTTCACAATACTTTTCATATAATTTAACATATCAAACCATTTATCTCTCTTTTGGATGTTGTAAGAGCCCTCTGTAGTATCTCAAAGTTAGTTGCAGGTCAAAAAGACTGAATTTTGAATTCAAAATTTGATTTTGAGAAACATCAAATAGGTCAAAGGTTTAAAACAATCCAAATAGGATCACAGGTTACTGTAAAATAACAGTCATTCATTTAGCCAAAATGATAAAAGTTTTTTTTTATTTTTTTATTTTTATTTTTTTTGGGACGGAGTCTCGCTGTCGCCCAGGCTGGAGTGCAGTGGAGCAATCTCGGCTCACTGCAAGCTCCGCCTCCTGGGTTCACGCCATTCTCCCGCCTCAGCCTCCCGAGTAGCTGGGACTACAGGTGCCCGCCACCATGCCTGGCCAATTTTTTTGTATTTTTAGTACAGACAGGGTTTCACCATATTAGCCAGGATGGTCTCGATCTCCTGACCTCGAGATCCACCCACCTTGGCCTCCCAAAGTGCTGGGATCACAGGCATGAGCCACTGCACCTGGCCAATAAAAGGTTTTAAAAAGCAAAAACTTTATTCTTTGAGAGGGTACTGAGTTTTCCAAACAATTAACAGATCTAAGAAATAGCATAAGACAGAATCTTTCTCTCTTTTTCTCTTCTTGTCTTTTTTTGTCATTTACTCATAAGGTGAACAAAAATTTTTACTATCTATTAATACTACATGAAAATTTTTGTTTAAAAGAGAAAGCCATATTTTACTTTTGTATTTGTGTATTATAAATACTAAAGTTAATTTTACTAAAACCTTATAAACCAAATTATCTAATCTCAGTCATCTTTTGACTACACAAGATTTTTACAAACCTTTTATAACATATTGTAATGAATTGTTTTCACTTTTTATATTTAGCTTTATCATATCTTTTAAATTTTTTTAATTTGAAATAATCTTTAAGTAACTATTAAGTGAGATGAAATTATCTTTTTCTCAATAAACATACATTTTTATGTCTCTTATTTCAATAGCTTTAGGGGTACAAGTGGTTTTGGGGTACATGGATGAATTGTACAGTGGTGAAGTCTGGGCTTTTGTAGTACCCATCATCCAAGGCCATTTTCATGTTTTTACAAAGTTTTTCACTAAAAGCCCATCTATCTTTTCCTTTATTATTATTATTTTTTTTGAGACAAAGTCTTGCTGTGTCACCCAGGCTGGAGGGTAGTGGCATGATCATGGTTCACTGTAACCTCAGCCTTCTAGGCTCAAGCAATCCTCCCACCTCAGCCTCTGGAATAGCTGGGACTACAGGCACATGCCACCACACCTGGCTAATTTTTGAATTTTTTGTAGAGACAGGTTTTTGCCATGTTGCTCAGGCTGGTCTTGAATTTCTGGGCTCAAGCAATCCTCCCACTTCAGCCTCCCAAAGTGCTGGGATTACAGGCATGAGCCACCACACCCAGCCCTTGCTTTTCCTTATACACTCTGTATATAGAATTAGTATACTCTTAGTAACCTTAATTTCTTTTATTTTTTCCTTCCAACTTTTCTCATTTCAGAGGGTACATGTTCAGGTTTGTTACATGGGTAAATTGCATGTCACTGGGGTTTGGTGTAGAAATCATTTTGTCACCCAGGTAGTAAGCATGGTGCCCAGTAGGTAGTTTTCCAATCTCCCACCCTCCACCCTCTAGTAAACCCCAGTGTCTATTGTTCCCCTTTTTGTATCCACGTGTACTCAATGTTTATCTCCCACTTATAAGTGAGTACGTGCAGGATTCAGTTTTCTGTTCCTGCATTAATTTGCTTATGATAATGGTCTCCAGCTGCATCCATGTTGCTGTAAAGGATATGATTTCATTCTTTTTACTGGCTGCATAGTATTTCTTCATGTATATATACCACATTTTCTTTATTCAATCCACTGTCGATGGGCATCTAGATTGATTCCATGCCTTTGCTATTGTGAATAGTACTGTGATGAACATATGTGTGTATGTATCATTTTGGTAGAATGATTCATTTCCCTTCGGGTATATACCCAGTGATGGGATTGCTAGGTTGAATGGTAGTTCTATTTTAAGTTCTTTGAGATATCTGCAAACTGCTTTCCATAGTGGCTGAACTAATTTACATTCCCACCCGTAATTTATAAGCACTCTCTTTTTTCCACAACCTCACCAGCATCTGTTATTTTTTTACTTTGTAGTAGCCATTCTGACTGATGTGAGATGTGATCTCATTGCAGTTTTGATTTGCATTTCTCTAATGATTATTGATGTTGGCCATGTGTATGTCTTCTGTTGAGAAGTGCTTATCTTAGTAACCCTAACTTCTAGTGAAAACTTAGGAAGTTTGAGCAGTTTTATATCAGTGTTTATAGATGAAAACATTTTATAATTTTTAGAAAGATTTGTTTTCTCACATTTTTGTTTACCAGTTCTAAATATATTTAGCTTTTAAATACCATAAGATGTCAAAGTACATAAATTTAAATTTGTTTAATAATTACTGTTCAATATTTTAAGTGACTTAGAAGTGACTCAGCCATTTTATGATTATCTATTACTTTACTTAACAAGGATTTTAAGATTTTTAATTACTCAAACTATGACACAGGTATCTTCGCTAACGTCTTTCCTCGGTCTTAAGTAGGCATGTGGTACTTAGAAGGGCTATGAAAGGCAGGGCCCATCTGGTTCCTGAACTTACATACCAGGGGTAGGCTCAGGATAGAAGATAACTGTGAAGACAATGCCTGGAGGATCCAACCCCTTCTAACATAGCCAGGGGGCAAAACTGGAACAGGTAGGAAGTGGTTATAGTGGGCTTGACTGCCTTATAACTGGTGGTCAAGTTGCTAAGAACATGTCCCCAACCCTTACCACAGCTACCTGTCCCAACAAAAGAATCCAGAGATTCAAAAGCAAAACCAAAAGCTTACAGACAAACCAATAAGTATCAAAAATCAAAGAAGCCACGTTATGACCTTAAAACATGTAGTAGACACATTATAAACCTGTCTGATGAATATATCCAGGAGAAAATGTCTGAATTATATTGAACTGACAATTCTGAAGTCATTATTATTTTATTTTACCAACTATTTTAAAACTAGCTTCATTTCCCAAATATTATCACATACATGTAACACATATTGAGTTATAGAAATATAGACACATAGACACAGCAGGTCTTAGAGCTTTCATCAGGAATTCTCATTTGCCAGCTTTCAAAAATAAAGCAAAATTTAGACAGATTAAATTTAACAAAGTTAAACAAAAAACAATTCACAGCTCCCCAAATCAAAACAGGTTGAGAGAGACTGGCACTGCTGCATGGTCCAAACAATTTTATAGAAAAAAAGGTGACATACAAAAAACAAAAATAAAATACAAAAACAGCTGGGATTACAGTGTGAGCCACCGTGCCTGGCCCCTTTCTGAATTCTTTTATTGTTTATAGTAAGTTTTCAGTTGATTTTTTTTTTTGGATATACAATTATATCTGCAAATGGAGATAATTTAACTTCCTCATTTCTAATCCTTTTGTCTTAGACTGATTTTGTGGTGTAATGGTCTTTGCACTCCTGGCCTTGCTGGTCTTTTCCTTCCTGTCTTTTTTCTAAGCCTGAACTGGTAGCCTCCCTGGCCATTCTCTGTGTTATTCAATATACTTTCAATAAATTCCTTTTCACTTAATGTCAGAACTGGTTTTCTGTTACTTTATCTAAGAAGCCCAACTAAATGTTGATTTTGCACATATAGTGCAAATAATGCCCAATGATGCATTATCAGTAGTGATATCTGTTGCCATTTATTGAGGGGCTATTGAGGCTGTGTGCCAAGTCATTTGTATATATAATACCAATCAATTCCTAGACAATGTGCCCCTGGTTATAGTATCATGTTTGAACTCATCATTTCAGCTTCTTCAAAGAGACTGCTTTTTGTGTTAGTAGTAGCTCTAAAATGTAAGGTAAGAGCCAGTTTAATATGTATATGCTTTTGTTTGCTTTGAAATTATAAAGTCAATTTTTATTAGGTTAACAACGTTTCAGGTTTTTTTTTAAAGCAGTGATACCTTATTCCCAAAGCAAATGCTGGAAGCCCAGTATGAAACACATTTTAAAGGAAAGCTGCAAAGGTTGGGTAGATTACGTAGAAGGAAGTTACTTAACCTAGAATATCGTGATGTGTCTGAGCATAGACAAAAAGGACAAAGCGTTTGGATGATGAAATACAGACATTTCTGGACACAGATCTTGGTGGCTCATATGGGTTGAATTGTGTCCTCCAAAAAGATATATTGAAGTTCTACCCCCTAGTACCTCAGGTGACTTTATTTGGAAATAAGGTCTTTAGAGAAGTGATCAAGTTAAAATGAGGTAATTAGGGCAGCCCCTATGACTGGGGTTCTTATAAAAGGAGTAAATTTGAACACAGACAGATATACACAAGGGAAGACAATGTGAAGACACAGAAGGAATGTCTACAAGGAATGTCTAAAGCTACCAGAAGCTAGGAGAGACGTGTGGAACAGAATCTTCCTCAGAATCCTCAGAAGGAACCAATCCTGCTGATACCTTGATTTCAGATTCCATGGTCTCCAGAACTGAGATCCAGAAATTTCTGTTATTTAAGCTACCCAGTTTGTGGTACTTTGTTATGGCTGCGGAAACTAAACACAGCACCTATGTGGCCAACTGGACAGAGTTTTGGAATTGGAGTGTCCTACACATTCCAGAATGTATGTTCGTTGTAAATAATGTTTTTCTGGCATGGGTGAAGGACCTTGATTAATTACATGCTTGTTATTTATCAAAGATCTCTTCAAGCTCGGGAAGTGATCAATCCTTACAATTGTTGCGTTCATCACTTAAGAGTTGGAAAAAGCCTGTCTTCAAGTACAAACTTTTTATGTCCTAAACCAGAGACAGTAAACTGGCAACTGGCAATAAGTATTTTGTTTGGCCTACACAGTGTTTCGAAAATAGGGGGAAAAATGTACTTGCCAATATTTAAAGAGCAGATTTCTTATAAACATTTCTGGATGTTATGGTTTGAATGTCCCCTCCAAAACTCATTTTGAAATTTAATTGCCACTCTAACAGTATTGAGAAGCCGGACCTTTAAGAGGTGATTAGGTTATGAGGGCTCTGCCCTCATGAATAGATAATTGTTATTGTGGGAGTGGGTTAGTTATCCTGGGTGTGAGCTCTTGACAAATAGGATGAATTCAACCTGATTTGTTCTCTCTGTCTCTAGAGCTCACTTCTGCCTTCTACCCTTCTGTCATGGTATGGATGACCCTCACCAGATGCTGATGCCACACTCTTGGACTTCTCAGCTGCAGAAGCATTAGCCAAATAGTCTTCTGTTCATTGTAAACTACCCAGTCTGTGGTATTCTGTTATAGCAGCAGAGAATGGACTTAAACACTGGATTTCCGGTTTGCTTGAAAAATGAGAAGATTTGCATTTCCTCATGACAACAGTTGACTGTTGCTGAAGATCTGCTGCTTCCTTTAGTCAGGCCAGGAGTACTTCTGTCAGCTACATAGCCACCAGACCCACTTAATGGGCTGAGTCTATAAACCCTGTGCTGCAGTGAAGTAGGGAAACAATAAGAGCTAGTGTTTGCTCAGCACCGCTATGTAGCAGGTGCTTCCTAGACATTTATTCAACAAATATTTATTGAGGGCCTACTAGGTGCCAGACACTGCTCTAGCTACTTGGAATATACCAGGGAATAAAACAAACGACCCATGTAAAACTTACATATTAGTGGTGGATGAAGGACAGAATCAAATAATCATTATGATAAATAAGTAAATTACATGGTATATTAGAAGGCGATATGTTCTTTTTTATTTTATTATTATTATACTTTAAGTTTTAGGGTACATGTGCACAATGTGCAGGTTAGTTACATATGTATACATGTGCCATGCTGGTGTGCTGCACCCATTAACTCGTCATTTAGCATTAGGTATATCTCCTAAAGCTATCCCTCCCCCCTCCCCCCACCCCACAACAGTCCCCAGAGTGTGATGTTCCCAGAAGGTGATATGTTCTAAAGGGAAATTGCAAGTCCTGGGAGAAGGTAATTTGTTATTTTAAATGAGGTGGTCAGGGTAGGGCTCCCTGAGAAGATATTTGAGTGGACTCGGGAGGAGAGGGAGTTAGCCACATGGACTTATTGGGGAAGAGTGTTTCAGGCAGACAGAAAAGCTAAAGAAAAGGTCCAAAAGCAGGAGTGTGTCACTGGTGTTTGAGGAAGGCAAAGAAGCAAGTGTGACTGGAGCAGAGTAAAAAAGGGGAGAGTGGAAGGAGGAGTGCTCAGATGGTAAGAGACTGTGTCAGAATATGGAAGAGCTTGAGAACTGATATGGTTTGGATATTTGTCCCTGCTCAAATCTCATGTTGTGTTGTAATCCTCAATGCTGGAGGTGGGGCCTGGTGGGACATGCTTGGGTCATGGGGGTGGATCCCTCATGGCTTGGTGCTTGTTTAGTGATAGTGAGTTCTCATCAGATTTGGCTGTTTAAAAATGTGTGGCACCTCTCTCTCTCTCTGTCTCTTTTCTTTTGCTCTCTCTCTTGCTCCTGCTTTCAACATGTGACATGCCTGTTCCCCCTTCACCTTCTATGATTGAAAGCTCCCTGAGACTTCACCAAAAGCAAGCAGATGCCAACATAATGCTTCCTGTAAAGCCAGCAGAATCATGAGCCAATTAAACCTCTTTTCTTTGTAAATTACCCAGTCTCAGGTATTTCTTTATAGCCATGCAAGAACAGCCTAAGGGAAGGCCCTAGAAAGGACTCTGGGTTTTACTCGAAGTGAAATAGGGAGCCATTAAAGGGTTTTGAGCCAAAGAGTGATCTGATCTAACCTAGATCTTAAAATAATCACACAGCTGCTCTGCTGATACCAGACTGTAGGGGGAAGAAGGACAATAAGGGAAGCAGGAAGATGTGTTTGCAGGCTTTTTGCAGTGATCAAGAAGCGGCTTGGACCAGAATGGTAGCAGGGGAGGTGTGTTAACTGGTGAAAGTTAGGATGTCTTTAAAGGTAGAGTCAATCTCCAGATGGATTAGATGTGAGGTGTGGAACAAAGAGGCCAAACCAAAAACCCAAAGGTTTCTGCTTGAGTAACTGCAAGGACAGACTTACTATTTGAGATGAATAAGCTGTAGGAAGAGTAGATTTCAAGGGGAAAATCATCAGTAGCTCTGTTTTGGACAAGTTGACCTTGAGATGTATACTGGATATCTGAAGGAAACATTGAAAAAACTGTTGGATACAAGTTTGGAGTTCCAGGGACTTGTCTGGTTGGCAATAAATCTTTCCTCTTCTGATCTAGTCTCATAGCTTTAAACAGAATATAATGCCACATAATGCCAATGACTCCCAAATATTTATGGTTATGGTCGATTCCAGGCAGATTGTGGTGATGTGGCCATATTGCCAGCAAAGGGAGGTCAGGGTTTCTAGCGCTGCCTCTTTATCTCCGATTATGGAACAGGCATGGTTTTAGTTCCAGTGCTTGGGTCTCCCTGGATTTAGACATCATTCCTTTGAATTCCCACCCAATATAATGAGGGTCAATATCTTCGCTAGCTTTACTAAGTCTTAATTATCTGGTGAGGTGTAGACACAAATTTGAATCAAGGTCTGAAGTCCTTACCTGGGGCTCTTTCTTCCATGCCATCATGCCAGTCTTTGTGAAGACATTTTTCAAAGGCTCATTCTTCTTACCTCTTTTCTAGGAATTTTAGTTTATTTCTTTACTTAACTTCAGAAATTAATTTCTCACTTCATTTTAGTAGCAGGAATGTTAGTGCTGAGAAACTGAGATGTTAGGGAGAATCCTTGACCAAGACTTCCAGGCTCTAGATACTAGGTGTGTCTTGCTCTAATTAAGGAAATCTTATCTGCTCCATCTTAGCCCAGTTTAACGTCCCCAGGAATTCCATCTTCTGCAGTCCTAAACTTTTCCCTTTTTCAATTCAGTGCAACTTATACTCTTCTCTGAAAGTGGCTCCAGGTCTGAAGAACTGTGGTCTGGGAGGAATAGAAAAGCATGCTCAGCTATAACCAGGCCCACATCCCCTAAGTTGCCTGCCCACCAAGTTACGGGCCGGACTTATGCGCCACGCTTTGTCCGGGGACCTCGCGCTGTCCTCCCTCCGGTTCCCACAGAGCAGGGGGCTTCCGGCGGGGTACCCTCCTCTGTGGGCGGGGCCTACCGCTCCCGCTCCCGCCTCCCCGGTTGCGCGCGGCTGCGGGCTGCGATCACGTGAGCACAGCAGGGAGGGGGAGGGGCCCTGATTTCCGGGCGGCGGAAGGAGACGCGGCCGCGTGAGGACGAGGCTATTTGAAAACACGCTCCGGGAGCTAGAGCCTGAGGTCGGCGGCGCACGCTGTTGCCCCGTGGGCTTCTGCTCCCTCGCTTGTCTTCTCGGGCTTCTCGCCCCGGCCGCGGCCGGGTCCTCAGGTAAGCGGCCGTCGCCCGTCGGGCCGGGTCCTCCCGGGGCGCGGGACTGAGCGTGGTGGGGCCGTCGCCCCCCGATCCGCGGCCCAAGCGGGCAGGGTCGGCCGTGCACGATTTGCGTCCCCCGGGTCTGGGCCGCGGCGTCCCTCCGAGCTGGGCCTGGGTGTGCGGCCGGCACTGCGGGGGCGGGACCCCCTAGGGCGTTTGCGGAGCTTCAGGTGACTGGGCGGGTTCGCCTGGTTTCGGGTCCGAGAGAGTTTTAGCCCGGAGTGTGTGAATCGGGCCCCACTTCCCCGACTCTGGTCCTGGCCGGCGTCCCTTGGAGTAGGAGGAACGATGGTTTCCTAAAACCCATGGTGTGTTCGCCTCTGGGATGGATGCAGGACCGAATACGGAGTGGGGATGAGCTGGCGTCCCCTGTTCCGTCCTCTGGTCGCCCAGGCGGGAGAGTTAAGCGAGCGGAAGGGGACTACCAGTTTTCTGGGGTCGCCCCTGCCTGGGCCATTTGCTTTTTGGGAAGTCTGTCGCCTCTGGTTGGCCCCTCAGTGGAGTTTGGAGGAACTCATGAGTTTAAGGGTTTGGGGAGGAAATTATCAAAGGCCGAGTGCAGTACGATCGTTCTCTCTGATTTTTTTTGGAAAAGAAGGTGGAAATGAGGAAGGGTAAGAAGGTGGCAGGCAAACTATTTATAGTTGGAATTTAGTTCGATTGAAATCCTAAAAACGCTAGGATCTGCCTTTTGTTGGAATTAGAAAAGACCTACAGTAGGAATGTGTGACATTCAGCTTTGAAACTATTGGGGATCGCAAACCTAAGGACTAGTGATGTGAGCTCCTCCTCTGAGACTGGCGTTCCTACCTTTTGCTAAAAACCGGCTACTGTAAAAGTGGCTTAGTGGGACTTTTTGATTTGCTGTGTTATGAAAATCTTTGTTATAAGTTAAAGTCAATTACTAGTAGAACTTTGAGAGTTCTTCGCATGAAAATGCTTTGTATCCCGTAATAATATTACTAGGTTTGAAAAGTCAAGGAAGGTCAATCAGCCTTCTTAATTTTCCTAACAGAGAAAGCATTAATGTGACTAATACAAAGCGATAGATAATATGGCATGAAGTTGACAGTAGACTGTTGAAGATCTATCAGGTGGTTAATGGCTAAATAGAACCCACAGGAGTGGAGGAGGAAGGGAGTTAATTTTTCTGAATGTCCTGTACCATTTACTTTCGTGTCTAGTACCAGCTAGTAATAAAATTGTAGGAAAAGCTCACAAAGTGTGCTTGCTTAATTAATGAAAACCATTTTTGTATTAAAAGAGGCCAGGTGAGTATCATGGCCTTCTTTTTAGGCCTTATTCCCTCCCACCCACCCACCCACCGACCCCCAGCTTTTTTTTTTGTTTTGTTTTGTTTTTTAAGACTAAGGTAACTAGAGGTGTGGGTGAGATGAAAATTTGGTAATAGGGACAAATGAAATAAGCCAAACTGTTTTGCCACGAAGACTTCCAGTCTTCAGGTTAATTCTGGTATGTTAAAGGTGGTTTTGCAGAGCTCAGTTCTGTGAATGAATCCCTTTTCAACTTCTTGATAAAGGCGTGACTTCCAAACTTTTCTGAGGTACATTGTTAAAATGGGTTTAGTTCCACCTACCTTGCATGGTTCTGTGCAGATTGTATACTGAGGTACACAATGCATCTAGTACCGGGCTTGGTATGTCCTGATCCTGAGACTTGAGGGACACGCACATGTTTATGCTTTGAGCATACGTATTTAACCATGTACCAGGCACAGTTCTGAGTGTTTTACAATTGTGTATGATTATCCCTATTTTGTAGATAGAAATTGGGACAGTGTACAGCTGGAAGGCGTCAGAGTTTGGATAAAAGCCTAATCAATCTGGTTGTAGAATTGGTTCTTAACCTGTGGGAAATCCTACCTCATGGCGATCTAATATAACCCTGTAATTAAGTAAATTTGGATATATTGTCATAGCTGATTGGCTTCTGAATTCCTTGAACTTGAGCTGTTCAGTATTGCACTGGCCATTTTATTAATATTGTAATAAAGGAAACTTTCGTTTTACCCATTTTTTTATACCCTCATGTGTAGCATTGTCACTTTTTATGGCCAGGCACAGGATAATTATGATAAACCAGGAGATTAGCAGAAGTTTTATATATTCCAGAGGTACTTACCCTATTCAAGTGGTGTACAGTATTGTTCTCAGGTGTGGAAAAGGCTTCAAGAAGAATTTAGCTGGTTCCAGGTAGAAGAGGCTATTGTTTTAGATAGAGATTAGCTTGTGGGAAGATAAAGCTGGAGAGGATGGATGGGGCCACATTAGGAAGGACCTCATATGTCCTGCTAAGGAGGTTTTACTATGTATGAGGAATAGAACAGCTGAGAACTCTTGAGTCTTGGTCATGAGATCTGTGTTCAGAGAGAGCTGTTTCGTAAAGGGCCAGTGGACTAGAGAGGAGACACTAGATAGTAGGCAGGAGTACCAGTGGGGAAGGTATTGAATGGTAGAAATAAAGGACTTCTTGAAAGTAGTGGCCTGGAAATGGGTAAGAGACACAGATCAAAGATTTCATGTGTAAGTGCAAGGTTTGGAATGTGGTATAGAGGGGGAGGAAGTACAAGATGGCATGGTGTTATGCCTGAGTTATTTATTATAATAGTGGCTTAGCTGGTCTTTGTTCCTTATCCCCCTATTACATTATATTTCTTTTTATGCTGCTTTTTATCCTTTTTGGGGACCAAGGGGGAATACTGTTTTCTGTTTAGTCTGAGGTTTATTCACTTTTGCTGTGCTAGGTTTATCCCCTACACCTGATCTTTACCTTGTTTTCCTTGCTCTTGAAAGGCCTATTATTCTCCTTGCTGTGTATTTGAATATTACCCATTTTTCACATGCTCAGCTTAGGTTCATAAATCTTTTTCTAATGGTTATAGGCTGCATTAAAGAATAACATTGGTTTTCCAACTTTGTTTGGTATTGCTAGAGAAGTTCCTCCGAGGCTCTTACGAAGCCCAGGAGCACACCAGCAGATACAAGTTACATCTCTAGGAAGTCTGTGCTGCTCTCCTACACTCGAACAAAGGAAAACAAAAAAAAAACACATTTCAGAAGGTTTCCCTTTAGCATATAGCTTGACAAAAGGTTCTGTGACCCAAAAAACTTTGCAAAACCGTGGCAAGACTGTTGCCTTGTTACAGTATTTTATCACTAAACTGAGTTTTTAATAGTTCTTAACAGCATTTTTTAATATTTTGATCTTTCAGCATAATCAGATTCTTGATTACGATTGAAATAAATGTTACAGTAGTATGTGTTGGAAAGTGCCTTTTTTCATAATTTATTCTTGTCTCTATCCATTGCTTTTAATTAATTCTTTTCATTATAGTAGTCGAGAATGACTAAAAAAAGAAAACGCCAACATGATTTTCAAAAAGTAAAATTGAAAGTTGGTAAAAAGAAGCCCAAGTTACAAAATGCTACTCCTACAAACTTTAAAACAAAGACTATACATCTGCCTGAGCAACTCAAAGAGGATGGAACACTTCCAACAAACAATAGAAAACTTAACATAAAGGTAAATCATAAATCATGTTTTGACAAAATAAGATTTTCTTTGGAATCGTGTAGAATGTTATATTTTTGTGAAAATTTGTCTAAACTCTTAGAGTAAATAGTTTGCCTAGGGTCTTAGGGTTTATTGATGTTTGGAGTTTATCTTTTACCCAAAGATCTCTCATGCAGCTGTGTCTTTCCACTTCCTCCAGAAACGTTCGCTAAACTAAATGCACAGTTGTTTCTCCCTGGTATATTTATTTGATGATTTATTTATTTATTTATTTATTTATTTTGAGACAGGTCTCACTCTTACACCATGTTGAGCACAATGGGGTGCTATCATGGCTCACTGCAGCCAGGACCTTCTGGGCTCAAGTGATCCTCCTACTTCAGCCTCCCAAGTAGCTGGGGCTGCAGGCGAGCGTCACCATGCCTGGCTAATTTATTTTTTTGTGGAGGCAAGGTTGCAATATGTTGCCCAGGCTGGTCTCAAACTCTTGGATGCAAGCAATCCTCCAGCCAAGGCCTCCTGAGGTGCTGGGATTGTAGGCGTGAACCACGGCACCTGGCTGTATCTGGAAATAATTCTTACATGTTTTTGATGTGTCAAATTTTTGATGAACAGTTTTCTAGCTGTTTTTTAGCGAATTAAGATACAATCCTGTCATTCATTTTTGAACCCATACAGCACATAGTTTATTATAGGTTTGTAGTAAATACTTGAAGTCAATTGAAGTTTGAGAAGTGTTGCTTAAGAATCTAACAGCTTTATGGAGATATAATTTACACATAATTAAAATCTCTCATTTAAAGAATACAATTCATTGGTTTTGGTATATTTACAGAGTTATGCTACTATCACCTTAATCTAATTTTAGAACGTTTTTATCACTCCAAGAAGAAAACTTATACCCATTAGGAATCACTTCTCATTTCTTCCAGCCCTAGGCAATCACTAATCTACCTCTGATATCTATAGATTTGCTTATTCTAGAAAGTGCATATAAATGAAATCATATAATACATGGCCTTTTGTTACTGGCCTTTTACTTAGCACAGTGTTTTGGAGGTTCCTCCAGGTTGTATGTAGCTTGTAGCATATATCAGAACAGTGGTACATTCCTTTGTATTGTCGAATTGTATTTCATTGCATGATTAGGTCACATATTGTTGATCACTCAGCAGTTGATGAACATTTAGTTTGTTTCTGGTTTTTGGCTCTTATGAATAATGCTGTTATGAATATTTGTGTGTAGGTCTTTGTGAGGATATACATTTTTCGAGTTTTGCTTTTTAAGCTCTGAAGTTTAAATAATACTAAAGAGTTATTTAAAGTTTTTTTTTTCCCAAAGGTTACATAAATTATTCCACAGATAAAATTGTCAGGTAGTATACTCTGAATAAAACACAAACACCCTGTGAAAGCCCATTTGAAACAGGCAGAAACGGCCTGTCAAGAGTATATATATACACCTTCCATGATGTTTGGTACCTAGTAGGTTTTCAATAAATGATGGTGTGATTGCTGTCACTTTATATCATAGAGCGCCTAAGCCTGCATGTAGGTTAATGTAAAGAGAGAAAATTCCAACTGAAAATTATGCAATGTTTTTATTAAGCTGAAAGTATTTTTCTGTTTCTGATCCTAACAAAAGCTAAATAACATTTAAAAAGTACTTATTGAAGCAGTTTCCCCAAGGAGTGTCAGTTTACTAGTGTAGTGTTAGTTAGCATGTTTACGTGAAATTGATACATGTATATAAGTATACATCTAAAATTTGTATTTTTATTTATAGGATTTGCTGTCACAGATGCATCACTACAATGCTGGGGTTAAACAAAGTGCTCTTCTTGGACTTAAAGACCTTTTGTCTCAATACCCATTTATAATTGATGCACACCTTTCAAACATATTAAGTGAAGTGACTGCTGTGTTTACAGATAAAGATGCTAATGTACGATTAGCAGCAGTTCAACTTCTTCAATTCCTGGCCCCCAAAATACGAGCTGAACAAATTTCTCCATTTTTTCCTTTGGTAAGTGCCCATCTCTCTAGTGCCATGACTCACATTACTGAAGGAATTCAGGAGGACTCTTTAAAAGTTTTGGACATTCTGCTGGAACAGTACCCAGCTCTAATTACTGGCCGTAGCAGCATATTGCTTAAGAATTTTGTAGAACTTATTTCTCATCAGCAGCTGTCCAAAGGACTGATAAATAGAGACAGATCCCAGTCCTGGATACTTTCTGTAAATCCTAATCGGAGACTCACTTCTCAGCAATGGAGGCTGAAAGTCTTAGTGAGACTCAGTAAATTCCTTCAGGCCTTGGCAGATGGATCCAGTAGGTTGAGAGAAAGTGAAGGACTTCAGGAACAGAAAGAAAATCCCCATGCCACTAGCAACTCCATTTTTATCAACTGGAAGGAACATGCCAACGACCAGCAACACATCCAGGTTTATGAAAATGGGGGTTCACAGCCAAATGTCAGTTCACAGTTCAGGCTACGGTAAGAAGGATTTCAGTTATGTCCACACAGTTTTGCTGTATTGAATTATAACTGCTAACCATTGATGACTGTTGGTGGGAAGACATGCAGTTGTCTTTCATAGTTTTCATATAGTTACTCATGATTTGATTTTATTTACTGATGGGAAGAGTTATTTGTATGTTAATTTATTTATAGCAAAGCCTTTGAGAAATAAAACTTGATAATATCTTTTGGCTTTGTCATCTTAGAATTTCATTTTTCTTACTAGTTTTGATTGATGTAATTATCAGTTCATGGTGCTTCATTTTACTAGTACTTTATATTTAAGATTTAAATTAGCAAGGGATAATAAACATTTTTTAATCACTTAATTTTTTTCTTTCTTACCCTTATTAGGTATCTGGTTGGAGGACTGAGTGGTGTGGATGAAGGCCTGTCATCTACTGAAAACCTGAAAGGATTTATTGAGATAATAATTCCATTGCTAATTGAATGCTGGGTTGAAGCTGTACCTCCACAACTAGCTACTCCTGTTGGGAATGGTATAGAACGAGAACCTCTACAGGTTATGCAGCAAGTTCTTAATATTATTTCCCTTCTGTGGAAACTCTCTAAACAACAGGATGAAACCCATAAATTGGTGAGAACTAATGGTTCTTTATTTTCTTAGTATTAATAGCCTTTTATCATAAATGGCAAGATTCGAAATCAGCTCATTACTACTAATTGGTTATATATTTTTCTGAAAAGTACCCTGGGTTTAACTGTAAACTTGTTTGTTTTGCACAAAACTACAAATTAGTTTTCTGAAGTTATTATCTGTGAATATATATATATATATATTTAAGTGAAATGCGTAACTCATGCTTGGTTCCATTAGTTTTTTACTGGCTATAATTCATAGTAGTGTTACAGTGTATTGTTTATGGCAGATTGATTGTGTAGGAACATTCTAGTTTCTGAAAGGTCTCTTACAAGGTTTAAAAAGTTGCTTATTAAGTAGTCTCTTTCAATTTATTCCACATTGCCAGGTTTAGTAGAAAGGGACAAAACTGAAGAGCTCATGATCAGACTTGAATTGTTTTAAGTGTTGTGCTATAGTGAATGTAGTGCATAGTGTATGCTACACTTTTCCTTTGCAACCAAGGAGGAACAAGCTGCAAGATTAAGTTGGTGCTAAATCAATACAGTAACACACTTGAAAAGGGTAGCTACAGAAGCAAGACTTCAAAGCTAGAAGCATCTGGTTTTCAGAAGAATTGCTGTAAGGACTTTTGATAAGGCAGGTGTGAATCCTTCAAGTTTATATAAAACTGAGAAGGTAGTTTTCTTGTTTTTGTTTTATTTTTATTTCAAGTTGAAGTTTAGAATGAGTCAGTATGGTGCATAAGACGGGATAAATTAAGTAGTATTTGATAGTCTTGAAAAGCATTATAGAGTTGTAGTAAGGTGTATATTTTAAGAGCGTGTTCTATTGCTGTTAACTCATCATCTGTAGGAATGTTTTGTCAATTGCTTTTTCAAATAAGATGGCATTTTATTGATTACGGTTTTGAGACTTTGTTTTATGATTCATTGCATACATTGGCAAAAAATTAATAATAGGGCTATAATGTAAGATTTTGAGAAAGCAAAGCTTGTTTCTCATATGGCAGTTAATTTGTGATGTAGGCTAGAGACAGTAAGAATGTATATAGCTCCTTTAAAAAAAGTATATAGTACTTACAGTCTTGATCTATGATCATCTGAAAGGTTCAGATAGAAAATAAAAGTAATGCTAAAGTCCTTAAGATGTCCTATAAAAAAGAAAAAGTAATATTCAACATGGACTTTGAGTGCTAGTTTTTTCTTTTCTTTTTATTTTTGAGACATAGTTTCGCTCTTGTTGCCTAGGCTGGAGTACAGTGGCACGATCTTGGCTCACTGAGACCTCCACCTCCTGGGTTCAAGCAATTCTCCTGCCTCAGCCTCTTGAGTAGCTAGGCTTACAGGTGCCCGCCACCATGCGTGGCTAATTTTTTGTATTTTTAGTAGAGACGGGGTTTTACCATGTTGGGCAGGCTGGTTTTGAACTCCTGACCTCAGGTGATCCACCCGCCTCAGCCTCCCAAAGTGTTGGGTTACAGGCGTGAGCCACCACGCCTGGCCTAGTTTTTTCATTTTTAGAGAGCCAAGAAGTAAAAATTCCAAGCTTCTTCGGTGTTTGATTACATATAAGCACTAGTAAACTTTTGTTACTGCTTTGTTAGTAGCATTTGTATTTAGATAGACTAGTAGGACCAAAATTCAAAATCTGAAAATTTATTAATTATGCTAGTTTTGGGTCATCTTATCTGGATAACACTAACAAAGGATCTAAATACTGCTTTAGTTTTATGGATATTTAAAATAGTATGCTTTAGAACTATTTTGTGCTATTATAACATGACTAGGCTTATTAGCAGCTCATTAACATATAATGGTAAGTTTAAAAGACTGCGTAGACTGTTGAAGATCAGAATACAAATTGAGATACTGTATAAAGCTGAAATAAATAAATTCAGATAGGAATAATATTTAAAAACATCCACTGGTAGAATGCTCTAATTCACCTTGGCAGATTTGTAATAACTTGATAAGAACCATTATTTATTTATTTATTTTTTAAAAAGGAACCATTATCTTAGAGACAGAGTATAAAAATGTACATCATTGGTACAATCTATACAAAATGATAGATTGTTAGTAGCATTCTATACAAAATGACATTAAAATGCACATTCTGGTCTTGAACTTCTGGCCTTAAATATCCTTGCACCTTGGCCTCCCAAAGTGTTGAGATTACAGGCATGAGCCTCTTTGCCTGGCCACAGCCTAATCTTTAGGAGGAACCAAATAGCATTGCTTGGCATTGATGTCAGATCACACACCACAAGCTGAATTGTAACTCTTTTTCTCTCAGAAACTGTATAGATTTTTCTATTGGTAAATTGATGTCTCGGTTAGATATAGTCTTAGGACTACTGACTGTTTGCTTTTACATGTTGGTGCTGCAGCTTAATGCATTTAGTTTGCTAGTATTTACAAAAAGTCAAGAAATTTCACTTGTATTCAGGTAGTTTTTTTTTTTTTTTAAACTTTTTAGTAATTTGAAGCTTTGATCCTTACTTTGAAAAGAAGTCTCAGGGTACATTAAGTCTTACATGCAGTGGCTGAATAGTCAGATTCTGTAATAATCAACTGAAGTTGTTTATTTCTGAAATACTGTGTGTATCTTTTTTTTTTCCTGTTCATATAAACAGCCATTTATTCCAGCACTATTTGTTGAAAAGATTGTTGTTTTACATTTGATTACCTTGGCACTATTTTTCTTTTCTTTCTTTCTTTTTTTTTTTTGCATTCCCTTACCTATCTTTTTTATTTTAAAGTCAAACCTTCAGAAGGAATACAATAAGCACTTGCCTACCCCCATCTAGTTGCAGCAATTTCTAACATTTTGTGCACATGTTGAACTACTACTGTATGTATTCTTAATAGTTAGCTAGCTATATCCTTGATATAACTAGTTTTTATTTATTTTTATTTATTTTTTTTTGGAGACGGAGTCTCACTCAGTCGCCCAGGCTGGAGTGCAGTGGCGCGATCCTGGCTCACCTCCCGAGTTCACGCCATTCTCCTGCCTCAGCCTCCCAAGTATCTGGGACTACAGGCGCCTGCCACTATGCCCAGCTAATTTTTTTTGTATTTTTAGTAGAGACGGAGTTTCACCGTGTCAGCCAGGATGGTCTCGATCTCCTGACCTCGTGATCTACCTGTCTCAGCCTCCCAAAGTGCTGGGATTACAGGCATGAGCCAACGCGCCCGGCCGATATAGCTAGTTTTTAAAATGAAATTACAGTTTAACATTAGCTTTTTGATTTACTGTGGTTTTTAGGGTACTGTATTAGTAGTGTCAGGGTCAGTATTATGTTATAAAAATTGTGTCTTAGCTTTGCATTTAATGCTTGACTTGCTTGCTACTTTTTCTCTACGTGTGTGTCTCATTGCTTTTATCCTTTTGCTGTGAGGGTTAGAGTTTGTAACCAAACACTAATGCAGTCATACTTTATAAGGCATTTATTCAAAGCTTTATTGGGCATCAATAAATAATGGCTACTTAAATTAATTAAAATTTAAAATTCAATTCCTCAGTAACCCTAGCCACATTTCAAGTGCTCAACAGCTACATGTGGGTAGTGGTTACTATATTGGACAGTGCAGATAGATATAGAACAGTTTGATCATTACAGAAAGGTCTTTTGAATAGTACTATTCTAGACTCTGGGGCTACAGAGATAAACATGGTTGATAAGGTGCTTGCCCTCATGGTATGTACCTTCTGGTGGGATCTATAGACAGTAAACAAATATATAATGTCAGTACTAGGAAGAAAGATGAAAGTAAAATGGGGTATAAAGAGCATGGGCAGGAACAGTGAGGGGGAGCTATTTTAGATAGGTTGTCAAATGCTCTCTGAGAATAAGATATCTGAATGTCATTGAAGTGAAGGAGCAAGTCTTGTCAACATCTGTGGGAAGAACATTCAGGCATAGGAAACAGCAAGTACAATGGCTTTGAGGTGAGAACAGGCTTCGCATATTTGAAGAATGGCAGGAAGGCCTGTGCAAATGAGGTACTGGGAGAATGGTAGAAGATGGGGGCGAAGAAGAGTGATAGTGGCCAGATCATGTGGGACTCTGTGGTCCCTGGTAAGGAGTTTGGATTTTAACCTGAGTGTGGCGAAAAGACCACTGGAGGGTTTTGAGCAGAGGAGTGGCATGATCTGCATTATATTTATTTAACTTTAATGTGCTGAATTTATAAAAATAGAACACTAGTGAACTCCCAGGTGCTCACAGTCTAACTCTAGCAACCATCATCTCTTGGATGACCAGTCCTGTCCTACATGTATATACATTTCGTTTCCTT